>NC_000021.9:12281924-12283122 GCF_000001405.40 Homo sapiens | reverse complement strand
TATGTGTAGTTTTTATGTGAAGACATTTCCTTTTCCACAATAGGCCACAAAGCTTTGCAAACATACACTTGCAGATTCTGCAAAAAGAAAGATTCAAAAATCCTCAATCAAAAGATAGGTTCAACTCTTGTGAGTTGAATGCACACATTGCAAAGAAGTTTCTCAGAATACTTCTATGTAGTTTTCATGGGAAGATATTTCCTTTTCCACAACAGGCCTCAAAGGGCTCCAAATATCCACTTGCAGATTCTACAAAAAGAGTGTTTCAAAACTGCTCCATCAAGAGAAAGTTTTAACTCTGTGAGATGAATGCAAACATCACAAAGATGTTTCTCTGAATGCTTCTGTGTAGTTTTAATCTGAAGATAATTGCTTTTCCACGGTAGGCCTTAAGGCCCTCAAAATATCCAGTTGCAGATTCTGCAAAAAGAGAGATTCAAAACTGCTCATTCTTAAGATAGGTTCAAGTCTGTGAGTTGAATGCATACATCACAAAGAAGTTTATCAGAATGCTTCTGTGTAATTTTTATCTGAAGATATTTCCTTTTCCACCATAGGACACAATGGGCTCCAAATATCCACTTGTACATTCTACAAAAAGAGAGACGCAAAACTGCTCAAAGAGGACATATGTTCAACTCTGTGAGTTGAATGCACACGACACAAAGAAGTTTCTCAGAATGGTTCTGTGTAGTTTTTATGTGAAAATATTTCCCTTTCCACAATATGCCTGAAAGCTCTCCAAACATCCCCTTGCAGATTCTGCAAAAAGAGAAATTCAAAACTGCTAAATCAAAAGATATGTTCAGCCCTGTGAGTTGAATGCACACATCACAAATAAGTTTCTGAGAATGTTTCTTTGTAGTTCTTATTTGAAGATATTTCCTTTTCTACCATAGCCCTCAAAGGGCTCCAATTATTCACTTGCAGATTCTACAAAAAGAGTGTTTCAAAACTGCTCAATCAAAAGAAAGTTTCAACACTGTGAGATGAATGCAAACATCAAAAAGAAGTATCTCAGAATGGTTCTATGTAGTTTTTACGTGAAGATATTTCCTTTTCCACAATAGTCCTCAAAGGGCTCCAATTATCCACTAGCAGATTGTACAAAAAGAGTGTTTCAAAACTGCTCCATCAAAAGAAAGTTTCAACTCTATGACATGAATGCACGCACCACAAAGAACTTTCCCAGAATATT
>NC_000021.9:12281484-12281824 GCF_000001405.40 Homo sapiens | reverse complement strand
TCTGTCTAGTTTTGAAACGAAGATATTTCCTTTTCTGCCTTTGGCCTCAAAGCGCTTGAAATCTCCACTTGCAAATTCCACAAAAAGAGTGTTTCAAATCTGCTCTGTGTAAATGAAAGTTCAACTCTGTGAGTTGAACACACACAACACAAGGAAGTTACTGGGAATTCTTCTGTCTAGCCTTACAGGAAAAAAACCCGTTTCCAACGAAGGCCTCTAAGTGGTCAAAATATCCACGTGCAGACTTTACAAACAGAGTGTTTCCAAACTGCTGAATGAAAAGAAAAGTTAAACTCTGAGAGTTGAACGCACACATCGCAGAGCAGTTTCTGAGAATGAT
>NC_000021.9:12281044-12281384 GCF_000001405.40 Homo sapiens | reverse complement strand
TCTGTCTAGCATAATATGAAGAAATCCCGTTTCCAACGAAGGCCTCAAAGAGGTCTGAATATCCACTTGCAGACTTTACAAACAGAGTGTTTCCTAACTGCTCTATGAGAAGAAAAGTTAAACTCTGTGAGTTGAACGCACACATCACAAAAGATTTTCTGAGAATCATTGTGTCTAGTTTCTATAAGAAGATATTTCCTATTCTACCTTTGACCTCAAAGCGGCTGAAATCTCCACTTGCAAATTCGACAAAAAGAGTGTTTCAAGCCTGCTCTCTGTAAAGGATCCTTCAACTCTGTGAGTTGAATACACACAACACAAGGAAGTTACTGAGAATTAT
>NC_000021.9:11124072-11146633 GCF_000001405.40 Homo sapiens | reverse complement strand
TCTGTCTACATTTTTTGTGGAGACATTTCCTTTTCTACTGCATACCACAATGCGCTCCAAATGTCCACTTGCAGATTCTACAAAAAGAGTGTTTCCAAACTGCTCAATAAAATGAAAAGTTTAACTCTGTGAGATGAACGCACACATCAGAAAGAAGTTTCCCAGAATTATTCAGTCTAGTTTTTATGTAAAGATATTTCATTTTCCACCAGAGGCCACAAGTTGCTCAAATTGTCCACTTGCAGATTCTACAAAAAGAGGGTTTCCAAACTGCTCAATCAAAACAATGGTTCAGCTCTGTGTGGTGAACGCACACATCACCAAGCAGTTTCTCAGAATTCTTTTGACTAGTTTTTATGTGAAGATATTTCCTTTTCCACCATAGGCCTCAAAGCACTCCAAATGTAGACTTGTAGATTCTACAAAAAGAGTTTCAAAACTGCTCAATCAAGGGAAAGGTTAAACAATGTGTGGTGAATGCACACATCACAAAGAAGTCTCAGATTGCTTCTGTCTAGATTTTATGTGATGATATTTCCTTTTCTACCGTAGGCCACAAAGTGCTCCAAAAGTCCACTTGCAGATTCTACAAAAAGAGTGTTTGAAACTGCTCAATCAAAAGAAAGGTTCAACTGTGTGAGATTAACGCACACATAAGAAAGAAGTTTCTCAGAATTCTTCTGTCTAGTTTTCATGTGAAGCCATTTTCTTTTCCACCATAGGCCTCCAGGCGCTCAAAATGTCCACTTGCAGATTCTACAAAAAGACAGTTTCAAATCTGCTCATTCAAAAGGAAGGTTTAATTCTGTAAGATGAATACAAACATCACAAAGGAGTCTCTCAGAATTCCTCTGTCTAGATTTTATGTGAAGATATTTCCTGTTCTACCATAGGCTTCAAAGCATTCCATACATCTACTTGCAGATTCTACGAAAAGAGTGTTTCCAAACTGCTCAATCAAAAGAAAGGTTCAACTCTGTGAGATGAACGCACACATCACATAGAAGTTTATCAGAATACATCTGCTTAGTTTTTATGTGAAGATATTTCCTTTTCCACCATAGGCTGCAAAACGCTCCAAATATCCGCTAGCAGATTCTACAAAAAGAGGGTTTCCGAACTGCTCAATCATAAAGAAAGGTTCAACTCTGTTAGATAAATGCAAGCATCACAAAGGAGTTTCTCAGAATTCTTCTGCCGAGTTTCAATTTGTAGATATTTCCTTTTCCACCATAGGCCTGAAAGGGCTCAAAATGTCCACTTGCAGATTCTACAAAAAGATACTTACAAAACTGCTGGATCAAAAGAATGTTTTACTCTGTGAGATGAATGCACACATCCCAAAGAAGTTTCTCAGAATTGTTCTCTCTATTTATTATATGAAGATATTTCATTATCCACCATAGGCCTCAAAGCGCTCCAAATGTCCACTTTTAGATTCTACAAAAAGAGTGTTTCAAAACTGGACAATCAAAAGTAAGGTTCAACTCTGTGAGATGATTGCACACATCACAAAGAAATTTCTCAGAATGCTTCTGTCTGGTTTTTAGGTGAAGATATTTTCTTTTCCACCATAGGCCTCAAAGCGCTCTAAATGTCCACTTGCAGATCCTACAAAAAGAGTTTTTCGAAACAGCTCAATCAAAAGAAAGTTTCAAGTCAGTGAGATGAATGCAAACGTCACAAAGAAGTTTTTCAAAATGCTTCTGTCTAGTTTTTCTGTGAAGATATTTCCTTTTCCACCATAGGCCTCAAAGCGCTCCAAATGTCCACTTGCAGATTCTACAAAAAGAGTGTTTCAAAGCTGTTCAATCAAAAGAAAGGTCCAGCTCTGAGAGATGAATGCACACTTTACAAAGTAGTTTGTCAGAATGCTTCTGTCTCGTTTTTATATGAGGGTATTTCCTTTTCCACCATAGGCCTCAAAGCACTCTAAATGTCCTCTTGCAGATACTACAAAAAGGGTGTTTCAAAACTGCTCAATCAAAACTAAGGTTCAACTCTGGGAGATGAATGCACATATCACAATGAAGGTTGTCAGAATGCTTCTGTTTTTTATATGAAGATATATGAAGATATTTCCTTTTCCACCATGTGCGTCAAAGCCCTCAAAATGTCCACTTACAGATTCTCCAAAAAGAGTGTTTCAAAATTGCTCAATGAAAAGTAAGGTTCAACTCTGTGAGATGAATGCCCACATCACAAAGAAGTTTGTCAGAATGCTTCTGTCTAGTTTTTATGTGAAGATATTTCCTTTTTCGCCATAGTCCCCAAAGCGCTACAAATGACTACTTGCAGATTCTACAAAAAGAGTGTTTCAAAGTTGCTCAATCAAAAGGAAGTTTCAACTCTGAAAGATGAATGCATGCATAACAAAGAAGTTTGTCAGAAGATTTCTGTCTAGTTTTTATGTGACGATACATCCTTTTCCACCATAGGCCAGAAAGCGGTCCAATTGTCCACTTGCAGATTCTACAAAAAGAGTGTTTCAAATCTGCTCAATGAAAAGTAAGGTTCAAATCTTTGAGTTGAACGCACACATTGAAAAGAAGTTTGTCAGAATGCTTCTGTCTAGTTTTTAAGTGAAGATATTTCCTTTTCCACCATAGGCCTCAAAGCACTCCAATTGTCCACTTGCAGATTTTACAAAAAGAGTGCTTCCAAAGTGCTCAATCAAAAGGGAGGTTCAACCCTGTAAGATGAATGCACACATCACAAAGAAGTTTCTCAGAATGGTTCTGTCCAATTTTTATGTGAAGATATTTCGTTTTCCACCATAGGCCTCAAAGCACTCCAAATGTCCACTTGCAGATTCTACAAAAAGAATGTTGCAAAGCTGCTCAATCAAAAGAAAGTTTCAACACTTTGTGAGATGTATGCAGACATCACAAAAAGTTTATCATAATGCTTCTGTCTACATTTTTTGTGGAGACATTTCCTTTTCTACTGCATACCACAATGCGCTCCAAATGTCCACTTGCAGATTCTACAAAAAGAGTGTTTCCAAACTGTTCAATAAAATGAAAAGTTTAACTCTGTGAGATGAACGCACACATCAGAAAGAAGTTTCCCAGAATTATTCTGTCTAGTTTTTAAGTTAAGATATTTCCTTTTCGACCAGGGGCATCAAAGTACTCCAAATGTCCACTTGCATATTCTACGAAAAGAGGGTTTCCAAACTGCTCAATCAAAACAATGGTTCAGCCCTGTGAGGTGAACGCACACATCACCAAGAAGTTTCTCAGAATTCTTTTGACTAGTTTTTATGTGAAGATATTTCCTTTTCCACCATAGGCCTCAAAGCACTCCAAATGTAGACTTGTAGATTCTACAAAAAGAGTTTCAAAACTGCTCAATCAAGGGAAAGGTTAAACAATGTGTGGTGAATGCACACATCACAAAGAAGTCTCAGATTGCTTCTGTCTAGATTTTATGTGATGATATTTCCTTTTCTACCGTAGGCCACAAAGCCCTCCAAATGTCTACTTGCAGATTCTACAAAAAGAGTGTTTTGAAACTGCTCAATCAAAAGAAAGGTTCAACTGTGTGAGATTAACGCACACATCAGAAAGAAGTTTCTCAGAATTCTTCTGTCTAGTTTTCATGTGAAGGCATTTTCTTTTCCACCATAGGCCTCAAGGCGCTCAAAATGTCCACTTGCAGATTCTACAAAAAGACAGTTTCAAATCTGCTCATTCAAAAGGAAGCTTTAACTCTGTAAGATGAGTACACGCATCACAAAGAAGTCTCTCAGAATTCCTCTGTCTAGATTTTATGTGAAGATATTTCCTGTTCTACCATAGGCTTCAAAGCATTCCATACGTCTACTTGCAGATTCTACGAAAAGAGTGTTTCCAAACTGCTCAATCAAAAGAAAGGTTCAACTCTGTGAGATGAACGCACACATCACATAGAAGTTTATCAGAATACATTTGTTTAGTTTTTATGTGAAGATATTTCCTTTTCCACCATAGGCTGCAAAACGCTCCAAATATCCGCTAGCAGATTCTACAAAAAGAGGGTTTCCGAACTGCTCAATCATAAAGAAAGGTTCAACTCTGTTAGATAAATGCAAGCATCACAAAGGAGTTTCTCAGAATTCTTCTGTCTAGTTCTTATGTGAAGATATTTCCTTTTCCACCATAGGCCTCAAAGCACTCCAATTGTCCACTTGCAGATTTTACAGAAAGAGTGCTTCCAAAGTGCTCAATCAAAAGGGAGGTTCAACTCTGTGAGATGAATGCACACATCACAAAGAAGTTTCTCAGAATGCTTCTGTCCAATTTTTATGTGAACATATTTCGTTATCCACCATAGGTCTCAAAGCACTCCAAATGTCCACTTGCAGATTCCACAAAAAGAATGTTGCAAAGCTGCTCAATCAAAAGAAAGTTTCAACTCTTTGTGAGATGTATGCAGACATCACAAAAAGTTTAACATAATGCTTCTGTCTGGTTTTTAGGTGAAGATATTTTCTTTTCCACCATAGCCCTCAAAGCACTCTAAATGTCCACTTGCAGATCCTACAAAAAGAGTTTTTCAAAACAGCTCAATCAAAAGAAAGTTTCAAGTCAGTGAGATGAATGCAAACGTCACAAAGAAGTTTTTCAAAATGCTTCTGTCTAGTTTTTCTGTGAAGATATTTGCTTTTCGACCATAGACCTCAAAGTGCTCCAAATGTCCAATTGCAGATTCTACAAAAAGAGTGTTTCAAAGCTGCTCAATCAAAAGAAAGGTCCAGCTCTGTGAGATGAATGCACACAGCACAAAGTAGTTTGTCAGAATGCTTCTGTCTAGTTTTTCTGTGAAGATATTTCCTTTTCCACCATAGGCCTCAAAGCGCTCCAAATGTCCACTTGCAGATTCTACAAAAAGAGTGTTTCAAAGCTGTTCAATCAAAAGAAAGGTCCAGCTCTGAGAGATGAATGCACACATTACAAAGTAGTTTGTCAGAATGCTTCTGTCTCGTTTTTATGTGAAGGTATTTCCTTTTCCACCATGTGCGTCAAAGCCCTCAAAATGTCCACTTACAGATTCTCCAAAAAGAGTGTTTCAAAATTGCTCAATGAAAAGTAAGGTTCAACTCTGTGAGATGAATGCACACATCGCAAAGAAGTTTGTCAGAATGCTTCTGTCTAGTTTTTATGGGAAGATATTTCCTTTTTCGCCATAGTCTCCAAAGCGCTACAAATGACTACTTGCAGATTCTACAAAAAGAGTGTTTCAAAGTTGCTCAATCAAAAGGAAGGTTCAACTCTGAAAGATGAATGCATGCATAACAAAGAAGTTTGTCAGAAGATTTCTGTCTAGTTTTTATGTGACGATATATCCTTTTCCACCATAGGCCACAAAGCGGTCCAATTGTCCACTTGCAGATTCTACAAAAAGAGTGTTTCAAATCTGCTCAATGAAAAGTAAGGTTCAAATCTGTGAGTTGAATGCACACATCGAAAAGAAGTTTGTCAGAATGCTTCTGTCTGTTCTGTATGTGAAGATGTTCCCTTTTCCACCATAGGCCTCAAAGTGCTCCAAATGTACACTTGCAGATTCTACAAAAAGAGTGTTTCAAAGCTCCTGAATCAAGGAAAGTTTCAATTCTTTGTGAGATGAATGCACACATCACAAAGAAGTTTGTCAGAATGCTTCTGTCTAGTTTTTAAGTGAAGATATTTCCTTTTCCACCATAGGCCTCAAAGCACTCCAATTGTCCACTTGCAGATTTTACAGAAAGAGTGCTTCGAAAGTGCTCAATCAAAAGGGAGGTTCAACTCTGTGAGATGAATGCACACGTCACAAAGAAGTTTCTCAGAATGCTTCTGTCTACATTTTTTGTGGAGACATTTCCTTTTCTACTGCATACCACAATGCTCTCCAAATGTCCACTTGCAGATTCTACAAAAAGAGTGTTTCCAAACTGTTCAATAAAATGAAAAGTTTAACTCTGTGAGATGAACGCACACATCAGAAAGAAGTTTCCCAGAATTATTCAGTCTAGTTTTTATGTAAAGATATTTCATTTTCCACCAGAGGCCACAAGTTGCTCAAATTGTCCACTTGCAGATTCTACAAAAAGAGGGTTTCCAAACTGCTCAATCAAAACAATGGTTCAGCTCTGTGTGGTGAACGCACACATCACCAAGCAGTTTCTCAGAATTCTTTTGACTAGTTTTTATGTGAAGATATTTCCTTTTCCACCATAGGCCTCAAAGCACGCCAAATGTAGACTTGTAGATTCTACAAAAAGAGTTTCAAAACTGCTCAATCAAGGGAAAGGTTAAACAATGTGTGGTGAATGCACACATCACAAAGAAGTCTCAGATTGCTTCTGTCTAGATTTTATGTGATGATATTTCCTTTTCTACCGTAGGCCACAAAGCCCTCCAAATGTCTACTTGCAGATTCTACAAAAAGAGTGTTTTGAAACTGCTCAATCAAAAGAAAGGTTTAACTGTGTGAGATTAACGCACACATCAGAAAGAAGTTTCTCAGAATTCTTCTGTCTAGTTTTCATGTGAAGGCATTTTCTTTTCCACCATAGGCCTCAAGGCGCTCAAAATGTCCACTTGCAGATTCTACAAAAAGACAGTTTCAAATCTGCTCATTCAAAAGGAAGGTTTAACTCTGTAAGATGAGTACACGCATCACAAAGAAGTCTCTCAGAATTCCTCTGTCTAGATTTTATGTGAAGATATTTCCTGTTCTACCATAGGCTTCAAAGCATTCCATACGTCCACTTGCAGACTCTACAAAAAGAGTGTTTCCAAACTGCTCAATCAAAAGAAAGGTTCAACTCTGTGAGATGAATGCACACATCACATAGAAGTTTCTCAGAATACATCTGTTTAGTTTTTATGTGAAGATATTTCCTTTTCCACCATAGGCTGCAAAACGCTCCAGATATCCGCTAGCAGATTCTACAAAAAGAGGGTTTCCAAACTGCTCAATCATAAAGAAAGGTTCAAGTCTGTTAGATGAATGCAAGCATCACAAAGGAGTTTCTCAGAATTCTTCTGTCGAGTTTCAATTTGTAGATATTTCCTTTTCCACCATAGGCCTGAAAGGACTCAAAATGTCCACTTGCAGATTCTACAAAAAGAGACTTACAAAACTGCTCGATCAAAAGAATGTTTTACTCTGTGAGATGAAAGCACACATCCCAAAGAAGTTTCTCAGAATAGTTCTGTCTAGTTTTTATGTGAAGATATTTCCTTTTCCACCATAGGTCTAAAAGTGCTCCAAATGTCCACTTGCAGATTCTACAAAAAGAGTGTTTCAAAATTGCTCAATGAAAAGTAAGGTTCAACTCTGTGAGATGAATGCACACATCACAAAGAAGTTTCTCAGAATACTTCTGTATGGTTTTTAGGTGAAGATATTTTCTTTTCCTCCATAGGCCTCAAAGCGATCCAAATGTCCACATGCAGATCCTACAAAAAGAGTTTTTCAAAACTGCTCAATCAAAAGAAAGGTTCACATCAGTGAGATGAATGCAAACGTCACAATGAAGTTTTTCAAAATACTTCTGTCTAGTTTTTCTGTGAAGATATTTGCTTTTCGACCATAGACCTCAAAGTGCTCCAAATGTCCAATTGCAGATTCTACAAAAAGAGTGTTTCAAAGCTGCTCAATCAAAAGAAAGGTCCAGCTCTGTGAGATGAATGCACACAGCACAAAGTAGTTTGTCAGAATGCTTCTGTCTCGTTTTTATATGAGGGTATTTCCTTTTCCACCATAGGCCTCAAAGCACTCGAAATGTCCTCTTGCAGATACTACAAAAAGGGTGTTTCAAAACTGCTCAATCAAAACTAAGGTTCAACTCTGGGAGATGAATGCACATATCACAATGAAGGTTGTCAGAATGCTTCTGTTTTTTATATGAAGATATATGAAGATATTTCCTTTTCCACCATGTGCGTCAAAGCCCTCAAAATGTCCACTTACAGATTCTCCAAAAAGAGTGTTTCAAAATTGCTCAATGAAAAGTAAGGTTCAACTCTGTGAGATGAATGCCCACATCACAAAGAAGTTTGTCAGAATGCTTCTGTCTAGTTTTTATGTGAAGATATTTCCTTTTTCGCCATAGTCCCCAAAGCGCTACAAATGACTACTTGCAGATTCTACAAAAAGAGTGTTTCAAAGTTGCTCAATCAAAAGGAAGTTTCAACTCTGAAAGATGAATGCATGCATAACAAAGAAGTTTGTCAGAAGATTTCTGTCTAGTTTTTATGTGACGATATATCCTTTTCCACCATAGGCCACAAAGCGGTCCAATTGTCCACTTGCAGATTCTACAAAAAGAGTGTTTCATATCTGCTCAATGAAAAGTAAGGTTCAAATCTGTGAGTTGAACGCACACATCGAAAAGAAGTTTGTCAGAATGCTTCTGTCTGTTCTGTATGTGAAGATGTTCCCTTTTCCACCATAGGCCTCAAAGTGCTCCAAATGTACACTTGCAGATTCTACAAAAAGAGTGTTTCAAAGCTCCTGAATCAAGGAAAGTTTCAATTCTTTGTGAGATGAATGCACACATCACAAAGAAGTTTGTCAGAATGCTTCTGTCTAGAGTTTATGAGAAGATATTTGCTTCTCTACCATTGGCCACAAATCTCTCCACATGTGCACTTGCAGATTCTACAAAAAGAGTGTTTCCAAACTGCTCAATCTAAAGATAGGTTCAAATCTGTGACATGAATGCACACATCACAAAGAAGTTTATAAGACTGCTTCTGTCTACATTTTTTGTGGAGACATTTCCTTTTCTACTGCATACCACAATGCGCTCCAAATGTCCACTTGCAGATTCTACAAAAAGAGTGTTTCCAAACTGCTCAATAAAATGAAAAGTTTAACTCTGTGAGATGAACGCACACATCAGAAAGAAGTTTCCCAGAATTATTCAGTCTAGTTTTTATGTAAAGATATTTCATTTTCCACCAGAGGCCACAAGGTGCTCAAATTGTCCACTTGCAGATTCTACAAAAAGAGGGTTTCCAAACTGCTCAATCAAAACAATGGTTCAGCTCTGTGTGGTGAACGCACACATCACCAAGCAGTTTCTCAGAATTGCTTTTGACTAGTTTTTATGTGAAGATATTTCCTTTTCCACCATAGGCCTCAAAGCACTCCAAATGTAGACTGGTAGATTCTACAAAAAGAGTTTCAAAACTGCTCAATCAAGGGAAAGGTTAAACAATGTGTGGTGAATGCACACATCACAAAGAAGTCTCAGATTGCTTCTGTCTAGTTTTTATGTGAAGATATTTCCTTTTCCACCATAGGCCTCAAAGGGCTCCAAATGTCCACTTGCACATTCTACAAAAAGAGTGTTTCAAAGCTGCTCAATGAAAAGTAAGGTTCAACTCTATGAGATGAATGCACAAATCACAAAGAAGTCTGTCAGAATGCTTCTGTCTAGTTTTCATGTGAAGCCATTTTCTTTTCCACCATAGGCCTCCAGGCGCTCAAAATGTCCACTTGCAGATTCTACAAAAAGACAGTTTCAAATCTGCTCATTCAAAAGGAAGGTTTAATTCTGTAAGATGAATACAAACATCACAAAGGAGTCTCTCAGAATTCCTCTGTTCAGATTTTATGTGAAGATATTTCCTGTTCTACCATAGGCTTCAAAGCATTCCATACGTCCACTTGCAGATTCTACAAAAAGAGTGTTTCCAAACTGCTCAATCAAAAGAAAGGTTCAACTCTGTGAGATGAACGCACACATCACATAGAAGTTTCTCAGAATACATCTATTTAGTTTTCATGTGAAGATATTTCCTTTTCCACCATAGGCTGCAAAACGCTCCAAATATCCGCTGGCAGATTCTAAAAAAGAGGGTTTCCAAACTGATCAATCATAAAGAAAGGTTCAACTCTGTTACATGAATGCAAGCATCACAAAGGAGTTTCTCAGAATTCTTCTGTCGAGTTTCAATTTGTAGATATTTCCTTTTCCACCATAGGCCTGAAAGGACTCAAAATGTCCACTTGCAGATTCTACAAAAAGAGACTTACAAAACTGCTCGATCAAAAGAATGTTTTACTCTGTGAGATGAAAGCACACATCCCAAAGAAGTTTCTCAGAATAGTTCTGTCTAGTTTTTATGTGAAGATATTTCCTTTTCCACCATAGGTCTAAAAGTGCTCCGAATGTCCACTTGCAGATTCTACAAAAAGAGAGTTTCAAAACTGCTGAATCAAAAGTAAGGTTCAACTCTCTTAGATGAATGCACATATCACAATGAAGGTTGTCAGAATGCTTCTGTCTGGTTTTTAGGTGAAGATATTTTCTTTTCCACCATAGGCCTCAAAGCGCTCTAAATGTCCACTTGCAGATCCTACAAAAAGAGTTTTTCAAAACCGCTCAATCAAAAGAAAGTTTCAAGTCAGTGAGATGAATGCAAACGTCACAAAGAAGTTTTTCAAAATGCTTCTGTCTAATTTTTATGTGAAGGTATTTCCTTTTCCACTGTAGGCCTCAAAGTGCTCCAAATGTCCACTTGCAGACTCTACAAAGAGTGTTTCAAAGCTGCTCAATCAAAAGAAAGTTTCAACTTTGTGAGATGAATGCACACATCACAAAGCAGTTTGTGAGAATGCTTCTGTCTCGTTTTTATATGAGGGTATTTCCTTTTCCACCATAGGCCTCAAAGCACTCGAAATGTCCTCTTGCAGATACTACAAAAAGGGTGTTTCAAAACTGCTCAATCAAAACTAAGGTTCAACTCTGGGAGATGAATGCACATATCACAATGAAGGTTGTCAGAATGCTTCTGTCTAGTTTTTATATGAAGATATTTCCTTTTCCACCACGTGCGTCAAAGCCCTCAAAAAGTCCACTTACAGATTCTCCAAAAAGAGTGTTTCAAAATAGCTCAATGAAAAGTAAGGTTCAACTCTGTGAGATGAATGCCCACATCACAAAGAAGTTTGTCAGAATGCCTTTGTCTAGTTTTTATGGGAAGATATTTCCTTTTTCGCCATAGTCTCCAAAGCGCTACAAATGACTACTTGCAGATTCTACAAAAAGAGTGTTTCAAAGTTGCTCAATCAAAAGGAAGGTTCAACTCTGAAAGATGAATGCATGCATAACAAAGAAGTTTGTCAGAAGATTTCTGTCTAGTTTTTATGTGACGATATATCCTTTTCCACCATAGGCCACAAAGCGGTCCAATTGTCCACTTGCAGATTCTACAAAAGGAGTGTTTCATATCTGCTCAATGAAAAGTAAGGTTCAAATCTGTGAGTTGAACGCACACATCGAAAAGAAGTTTGTCAGAATGCTTCTGTCTGTTCTATATGTGAAGATGTCCCCTTTTCCACCATAGGCCTCAAAGCGCTCCAAATGTACACTTGCAGATTCTACAAAAAGAGTGTTTCAAAGCTCCTGAATCAAAGAAAGTTTCAATTCTTTGTGAGATGAATGCACACATCACAGAGAAGTTTGTCAGAATGCTTCTGTCTAGTTTTTAAGTGAAGATATTTCCTTTTCCACCATAGGCCTCAAAGCACTCCAATTGTCCACTTGCAGATTTTACAAAAAGAGTGCTTCCAAAGTGCTCAATCAAAAGGGAGGTTCAACCCTGTAAGATGAATGCACACATCACAAAGAAGTTTATAAGACTGCTTCTGTCTACATTTTTTGTGGAGACATTTCCTTTTCTACTGCATACCACAATGCGCTCCAAATGTCCACTTGCAGATTCTACAAAAAGAGTGTTTCCAAACTGCTCAATAAAATGAAAAGTTTAACTCTGTGAGATGAACGCACACATCAGAAAGAAGTTTCCCAGAATTATTCAGTCTAGTTTTTATGTAAAGATATTTCATTTTCCACCAGAGGCCACAAGGTGCTCAAATTGTCCACTTGCAGATTCTACAAAAAGAGTATTTCAAAACTGTCCATCAAAAGAAAGGTTCAGCTCTGGGAGATGAATACAAACATCACAAAGAGGTTTCTCAGAATGCTTCTGTCTAGAGTTTATGCGAAGATATTTGCTTCTCTACCATTGGCCACAAATCTCTCCACATGTGCACTTGCAGATTCTACAAAAAGAGTGTTTCCAAACTGCTCAATCTAAAGATAGGTTCAAATCTGTGACATGAATGCACACATCACAAAGAAGTTTATAAGACTGCTTCTGTCTAGATTTTATGTGATGATATTTCCTTTTCTACCGTAGGCCACAAAGCCCTCCAAATGTCTACTTGCAGATTCTACAAAAAGAGTGTTTTGAAACTGCTCAATCAAAAGAAAGGTTTAACTGTGTGAGATTAACGCACACATCAGAAAGAAGTTTCTCAGAATTCTTCTGTCTAGTTTTCATGTGAAGGCATTTTCTTTTCCACCATAGGCCTCAAGGCGCTCAAAATGTCCACTTGCAGATTCTACAAAAAGACAGTTTCAAATCTGCTCATTCAAAAGGAAGGTTTAACTCTGTAAGATGAGTACACGCATCACAAAGAAGTCTCTCAGAATTCCTCTGTCTAGATTTTATGTGAAGATATTTCCTGTTCTACCATAGGCTTCAAAGCATTCCATACGTCCACTTGCAGACTCTACAAAAAGAGTGTTTCCAAACTGCTCAATCAAAAGAAAGGTTCAACTCTGTGAGATGAATGCACACATCACATAGAAGTTTCTCAGAATACATCTGTTTAGTTTTTATGTGAAGATATTTCCTTTTCCACCATAGGCTGCAAAACGCTCCAGATATCCGCTAGCAGATTCTACAAAAAGAGGGTTTCCAAACTGCTCAATCATAAAGAAAGGTTCAAGTCTGTTAGATGAATGCAAGCATCACAAAGGAGTTTCTCAGAATTCTTCTGTCGAGTTTCAATTTGTAGATATTTCCTTTTCCACCATAGGCCTGAAAGGACTCAAAATGTCCACTTGCAGATTCTACAAAAAGAGACTTACAAAACTGCTCGATCAAAAGAATGTTTTACTCTGTGAGATGAAAGCACACATCCCAAAGAAGTTTCTCAGAATAGTTCTGTCTAGTTTTTATGTGAAGATATTTCCTTTTCCACCATAGATCTAAAAGTGCTCCAAATGTCCACTTGCAGATTCTACAAAAAGAGTGTTTCAAAATTGCTCAATGAAAAGTAAGGTTCAACTTTGTGAGATGAATTCACACATCACAAAGAAGTTTCTCAGAATAATTCTGTCTAGTTTTTATGTGAAGATACTTCCTTTTCCACCATAGGCCTCAAAGCGCTCCAAATGTCCACATGCAGATTCTACAAAAAGAGGGTTTCCAAACTGCTCAATCAAAACAACGGTTCAACTCTGTGAGGTGAACACACACATCAACAAGAAGTTTCTCAGAATTCTTCTGTCTAGTTTTTCTGTGAAGATATTTCCTTTTCCACCATAGGCCTCAAAGCGCTCCAAATGTCCACTTGCAGATTCTACAAAAAGAGTGTTTCAAAGCTGTTCAACCAAAAGAAAGGTCCAGCTCTGAGAGATGAATGCACACATTACAAAGTAGTTTGTCAGAATGCTTCTGTCTCGTTTTTATGTGAAGGTATTTCCTTTTCCACCATGTGCGTCAAAGCCCTCAAAATGTCCACTTACAGATTCTCCAAAAAGAGTGTTTCAAAATTGCTCAATGAAAAGTAAGGTTCAACTCTGTGAGATGAATGCACACATCACAAAGAAGTTTGTCAGAATGCTTCTGTCTCGTTTTTATGTGAAGGTATTTCCTTTTCCACCATGTGCGTCAAAGCCCTCAAAATGTCCACTTACAGATTCTCCAAAAAGAGTGTTTCAAAATTGCTCAATGAAAAGTAAGTTTCAACTCTGTGAGATGAATGCACACATCACAAAGAAGTTTGTCAGAATGCTTCTGTCTAGTTTTTATGTGAAGATATTTCCTTTTTTGCCATAGGCCCCAAAGCGCTCCAAATGACTACTTGCAGATTCTACAAAAACAGTGTTTCAAAGTTGCTCAATCAAAAGAAAGGTTCAACTCTGAAAGATGAATGCACACATAACAAAGAAGTTTGTCAGAAGATTTCTGTCTAGTTTTTATGTGACGATATATCCTTTTCCACCATAGGCCACAAAGCGGTCCAATTGTCCACTTGCAGATTCTACAAAAGGAGTGTTTCATATCTGCTCAATGAAAAGTAAGGTTCAAATCTGTGAGTTGAACGCACACATCAAAAAGAAGTTTGTCAGAATGCTTCTGTCTGTTCTATATGTGAAGATGTCCCCTTTTCCACCATAGGCCTCAAAGCGCTCCAAATGTACACTTGCAGATTCTACAAAAAGAGTGTTTCAAAGCTCCTGAATCAAAGAAAGTTTCAATTCTTTGTGAGATGAATGCACACATCACAAAGAAGTTTGTCAGAATGCTTCTGTCTAGTTTTTAAGTGAAGATATTTCCTTTTCCACCATAGGCCTCAAAGCACTCCAATTGTCCACTTGCAGATTTTACAAAAAGAGTGCTTCCAAAGTGCTCAATCAAAAGGGAGGTTCAACCCTGTAAGATGAATGCACACATCACAAAGAAGTTTCTCAGAATGCTTCTGTCTACATTTTTTGTGGAGACATTTCCTTTTCTACTGCATACCACAATGCGCTCCAAATGTCCACTTGCAGATTCTACAAAAAGAGTGTTTCCAAACTGCTCAATAAAATGAAAAGTTTAACTCTGTGAGATGAACGCACACATCAGAAAGAAGTTTCCCAGAATTATTCAGTCTAGTTTTTATGTAAAGATATTTCATTTTCCACCAGAGGCCACAAGGTGCTCAAATTGTCCACTTGCAGATTCTACAAAAAGAGGGTTTCCAAACTGCTCAATCAAAACAATGGTTCAGCTCTGTGTGGTGAACGCACACATCACCAAGCAGTTTCTCAGAATTCTTTTGACTAGTTTTTATGTGAAGATATTTCCTTTTCCACCATAGGCCTCAAAGCACTCCAAATGTAGACTGGTAGATTCTACAAAAAGAGTTTCAAAACTGCTCAATCAAGGGAAAGGTTAAACAATGTGTGGTGAATGCACACATCACAAAGAAGTCTCAGATTGCTTCTGTCTAGATTTTATGTGATGATATTTCCTTTTCTACCGTAGGCCACAAAGCCCTCCAAATGTCTACTTGCAGATTCTACAAAAAGAGTGTTTTGAAACTGCTCAATCAAAAGAAAGGTTTAACTGTGTGAGATTAACGCACACATCAGAAAGAAGTTTCTCAGAATTCTTCTGTCTAGTTTTCATGTGAAGGCATTTTCTTTTCCACCATAGGCCTCAAGGCGCTCAAAATGTCCACTTGCAGATTCTACAAAAAGACAGTTTCAAATCTGCTCATTCAAAAGGAAGGTTTAACTCTGTAAGATGAGTACACGCATCACAAAGAAGTCTCTCAGAATTCCTCTGTCTAGATTTTATGTGAAGATATTTCCTGTTCTACCATAGGCTTCAAAGCATTCCATACGTCCACTTGCAGACTCTACAAAAAGAGTGTTTCCAAACTGCTCAATCAAAAGAAAGGTTCAACTCTGTGAGATGAATGCACACATCACATAGAAGTTTCTCAGAATACATCTGTTTAGTTTTTATGTGAAGATATTTCCTTTTCCACCATAGGCTGCAAAACGCTCCAGATATCCGCTAGCAGATTCTACAAAAAGAGGGTTTCCAAACTGCTCAATCATAAAGAAAGGTTCAAGTCTGTTAGATGAATGCAAGCATCACAAAGGAGTTTCTCAGAATTCTTCTGTCAAGTTTCAATTTGTAGATATTTCCTTTTCCACCATAGACCTGAAAGGACTCAAAATGTCCACTTGCAGATTCTACAAAAAGAGACTTACAAAACTGCTCGATCAAAAGAATGTTTTACTCTGTGAGATGAAAGCACACATCCCAAAGAAGTTTCTCAGAATAGTTCTGTCTAGTTTTTATGTGGAGATATTTCCTATTCCACCATAGGCCTCATGGCTCTCGAAAATTCTACTTGCAGATTCTACAAAAAGCATATTTCAAAACTGGTCTTTCAAAAGAGAGGTTCAACCCTGTGAGATGAATTCACACATCAGAAAGAAGTTTCTCAGAATGCTTCTGTCTAGTTTTTAAGTTAAGATATTTCCTTTTCGACCAGGGGCATCAAAGTACTCCAAATGTCCACTTGCATATTCTACGAAAAGAGGGTTTCCAAACTGCTCAATCAAAACAATGGTTCAGCTCTGTGAGGTGAACGCACACATCACCAAGAAGTTTCTCAGAATTCTTTTGACTAGTTTTTATGTGAAGATATTTCCTTTTCCACCATAGGCCTCAAAGCACTCCAAATGTAGACTTGTAGATTCTACAAAAAGAGTTTCAAAACTGCTCAATCAAGGGAAAGGTTAAACAATGTGTGGTGAATGCACACATCACAAAGAAGTCTCAGATTGCTTCTGTCTAGATTTTATGTGATGATATTTCCTTTTCTACCGTAGGCCACAAAGCCCTCCAAATGTCTACTTGCAGATTCTACAAAAAGAGTGTTTTGAAACTGCTCAATCAAAAGAAAGGTTCAACTGTGTGAGATTAACGCACACATCAGAAAGAAGTTTCTCAGAATTCTTCTGTCTAGTTTTCATGTGAAGGCATTTTCTTTTCCACCATAGGCCTCAAGGCGCTCAAAATGTCCACTTGCAGATTCTACAAAAAGACAGTTTCAAATCTGCTCATTCAAAAGGAAGGTTTAACTCTGTAAGATGAGTACACGCATCACAAAGAAGTCTCTCAGAATTCCTCTGTCTAGATTTTATGTGAAGATATTTCCTGTTCTACCATAGGCTTCAAAGCATTCCATACGTCTACTTGCAGATTCTACGAAAAGAGTGTTTCCAAACTGCTCAATCAAAAGAAAGGTTCAACTCTGTGAGATGAACGCACACATCACATAGAAGTTTATCAGAATACATCTGTTTAGTTTTTATGTGAAGATATTTCCTTTTCCACCATAGGCTGCAAAACGCTCCAAATATCCGCTAGCAGATTCTACAAAAAGAGGGTTTCCGAACTGCTCAATCATAAAGAAAGGTTCAACTCTGTTAGATAAATGCAAGCATCACAAAGGAGTTTCTCAGAATTCTTCTGTCAAGTTTCAATTTGTAGATATTTCCTTTTCCACCATAGACCTGAAAGGACTCAAAATGTCCACTTGCAGATTCTACAAAAAGAGACTTACAAAACTGCTTGATCAAAAGAATGTTTTACTCTGTGAGATGAAAGCACACATCCCAAAGAAGTTTCTCAGAATAGTTCTGTCTAGTTTTTATGTGAAGATATTTCCTTTTCCACCATAGATCTAAAAGTGCTCCAAATGTCCACTTGCAGATTCTACAAAAAGAGTGTTTCAAAATTGCTCAATGAAAAGTAAGGTTCAACTTTGTGAGATGAATGCACACATCACAAAGAAGTTTCTCAGAATAATTCTGTATGGTTTTTAGGTGGAGATATTTTCTTTTCCTCCATAGGCCTCAAAGCGATCCAAATGTCCACATGCAGATCCTACAAAAAGAGTTTTTCAAAACTGCTCAATCAAAAGAAAGGTTCACGTCAGTGAGATGAATGCAAACGTCACAATGAAGTTTTTCAAAATACTTCTGTCTAGTTTTTCTGTGAAGATATTTGCTTTTCGACCATAGACCTCAAAGCGCTCCAAATGTCCAATTGCAGATTCTACAAAAAGAGTGTTTCAAAGCTGCTCAATCAAAAGAAAGGTCCAGCTCTGTGAGATGAATGTACACATCACAAAGTAGTTTGTCAGAATGCTTCTGTCTCGTTTTTATATGAGGGTATTTCCTTTTCCACCATAGGCCTCAAAGCACTCTAAATGTCCTCTTGCAGATACTACAAAAAGGGTGTTTCAAAACTGCTCAATCAAAACTAAGGTTCAACTCTGGGAGATGAATGCACATATCACCATGAAGGTTGTCAGAATGCTTCTGTTTTTTATATGAAGATATATGAAGATATTTCCTTTTCCACCATGTGCGTCAAAGCCCTCAAAATGTCCACTTACAGATTCTCCAAAAAGAGTGTTTCAAAATTGCTCAATGAAAAGTAAGGTTCAACTCTGTGAGATGAATGCCCACATCACAAAGAAGTTTGTCAGAATGCTTTTGTCTAGTTTTTATGGGAAGATATTTCCTTTTTCACCATAGTCTCCAAAGCGCTACAAATGACTACTTGCAGATTCTACAAAAAGAGTGTTTCAAAGTTGCTCAATCAAAAGGAAGGTTCAACTCTGAAAGATGAATGCATGCATAACAAAGAAGTTTGTCAGAAGATTTCTGTCTAGTTTTTATGTGACGATACATCCTTTTCCACCATAGGCCAGAAAGCGGTCCAATTGTCCACTTGCAGATTCTACAAAAAGAGTGTTTCAAACCTGCTCAATGAAAAGTAAGGTTCAAATCTTTGAGTTGAACGCACACATTGAAAAGAAGTTTGTCAGAATGCTTCTGTCTGTTCTATATGTGAAGATGTTCCCTTTTCCACCATAGGCCTCAAAGCGCTCCAAATGTACACTTGCAGATTCTACAAAAAGAGTGTTTCAAAGCTCCTGAATCAAAGAAAGTTTCAATTCTTTGTGAGATGAATGCACACATCACAAAGAAGTTTGTCAGAATGCTTCTGTCCAATTTTTATGTGAAGATATTTCGTTTTCCACCATAGACCTCAAAGCACTCCAATTGTCCACTTGCAGATTTTACAGAAAGAGTGCTTCCAAAGTGCTCAATCAAAAGGGAGGTTCAACTCTGTGAGATGAATGCGCACATCACAAAGAAGTTTCTCAGAATGCTTCTGTCCAATTTTTATGTGAACATATTTCGTTATCCACCATAGGCCTCAAAGCACTCCAAATGTCCACTTGCAGATTCTACAAAAAGAATGTTGCAAAGCTTCTCAATCAAAAGAAAGTTTCAACTCCTTGTGAGATGTATGCAGACATCACAAAAAGTTTATCATAATGCTTCAGTCTAGTTTTTATGTAAAGATATTTCATTTTCCACCAGAGGCCACAAGGTGCTCAAATTGTCCACTTGCAGATTCTACAAAAAGAGTATTTCAAAACTGTCCATAAAAAGAATGGTTCAGCTCTGGGAGATGAATACAAACATCACAAAGAGGTTTCTCAGAATGCTTTTGACTAGTTTTTATGTGAAGATATTTCCTTTTCCACCATAGGCCTCAAAGCACTCCAAATGTAGACTGGTAGATTCTACAAAAAGAGTTTCAAAACTGCTCAATCAAGGGAAAGGTTAAACAATGTGTGGTGAATGCACACATCACAAAGAAGTCTCAGATTGCTTCTGTCTAGATTTTATGTGATGATATTTCCTTTTCTACCGTAGGCCACAAAGCCCTCCAAATGTCTACTTGCAGATTCTACAAAAAGAGTGTTTTGAAACTGCTCAATCAAAAGAAAGGTTTAACTGTGTGAGATTAACGCACACATCAGAAAGAAGTTTCTCAGAATTCTTCTGTCTAGTTTTCATGTGAAGGCATTTTCTTTTCCACCATAGGCCTCAAGGCGCTCAAAATGTCCACTTGCAGATTCTACAAAAAGACAGTTTCAAATCTGCTCATTCAAAAGGAAGGTTTAACTCTGTAAGATGAGTACACGCATCACAAAGAAGTCTCTCAGAATTCCTCTGTCTAGATTTTATGTGAAGATATTTCCTGTTCTACCATAGGCTTCAAAGCATTCCATACGTCCACTTGCAGACTCTACAAAAAGAGTGTTTCCAAACTGCTCAATCAAAAGAAAGGTTCAACTCTGTGAGATGAATGCACACATCACATAGAAGTTTCTCAGAATACATCTGTTTAGTTTTTATGTGAAGATATTTCCTTTTCCACCATAGGCTGCAAAACGCTCCAGATATCCGCTAGCAGATTCTACAAAAAGAGGGTTTCCAAACTGCTCAATCATAAAGAAAGGTTCAAGTCTGTTAGATGAATGCAAGCATCACAAAGGAGTTTCTCAGAATTCTTCTGTCGAGTTTCAATTTGTAGATATTTCTTTTTCCACCATAGGCCTGAAAGGACTCAAAATGTCCACTTGCAGATTCTACAAAAAGAGACTTACAAAACTGCTCGATCAAAAGAATGTTTTACTCTGTGAGATGAAAGCACACATCCCAAAGAAGTTTCTCAGAATAGTTCTCTCTATTTATTATATGAAGATATTTCGTTATCCATCATAGGACTCAAAGCGCTCCAAATGTCCACTTTCAGATTCTACAAAAAGAGTTTTTCAAAACTAGACAATCAAAAGTAAGGTTCAACTCTGTGAGATGATTGCACACATCACAAAGAAATTTCTCAGAATGTTTCTGTCTAGTTTTTCTGTGAAGATATTTGCTTTTCGACCATAGACCTCAAAGCGCTCCAAATGTACAATTGCAGATTCTACAAAAAGAGTGTTTCAAAGCTGCTCAATCAAAAGAAAGGTCCAGCTCTGTGAGATGAATGTACACATCACAAAGTAGTTTGTCAGAATGCTTCTATCTACTTTCTATGTGAAGGTATTTCCTTTTCTACCATTGGCTTGAAGTGCCGCAAATGTCCAACGGCAGATTCTACAAAAAGAGTGTTTCAAAGCTGCTAAATCAAAAGAAATGTTCAACTCTGTGAGATGAAAGCACACATCACAAAGACGTTTGTCAGAATGCTTCTGTCTAGTTTTTATGTGAAGATATTTCCTTTTACACCACAGGCCTCAAAGTTCTCCAAATGTCCACTTGCAGATTCTACAAAAAGAGTGTTTCAAAACTGCTCAATGAAAAGTAAGGTTCAACTCTGTGAGATGAATGCACACATCACAAAGAAGTTTCTCAGAATCCTTCTGTCTAGTTTTTATATGAAGATATTTCCTTTTCCACCACGTGCGTCAAAGCCCTCAAAAAGTCCACTTACAGATTCTCCAAAAAGAGTGTTTCAAAATAGCTCAATGAAAAGTAAGGTTCAACTCTGTGAGATGAATGCCCACATCACAAAGAAGTTTGTCAGAATGCCTCTGTCTAGTTTTTATGGGAAGATATTTCCTTTTTCGCCATAGTCTCCAAAGCGCTACAAATGACTACTTGCAGATTCTACAAAAAGAGTGTTTCAAAGTTGCTCAATCAAAAGGAAGGTTCAACTCTGAAAGATGAATGCATGCATAACAAAGAAGTTTGTCAGAAGATTTCTGTCTAGTTTTTATGTGACGATACATCCTTTTCCACCATAGGCCAGAAAGCGGTCCAATTGTCCACTTGCAGATTCTACAAAAAGAGTGTTTCAAATCTGCTCAATGAAAAGTAAGGTTCAAATCTTTGAGTTGAACGCACACATTGAAAAGAAGTTTGTCAGAAGGCTTCTGTCTGTTCTATATGTGAAGATGTTCCCTTTTCCACCATAGGCCTCAAAGCGCTCCAAATGTACACTTGCAGATTCTACAAAAAGAGTGTTTCAAAGCTCCTGAATCAAAGAAAGTTTCAATTCTTTGTGAGATGAATGCACACATCACAAAGAAGTTTGTCAGAATGCTTCTGTCTAGAGTTTATGCGAAGATATTTGCTTCTCTACCATTGGCCGCAAATCTCTCCACGTGTGCACTTGCAGATTCTACAAAAAGAGTGTTTCCAAACTGCTCAATCTAAAGATAGGTTCAAATCTGTGAAATGAATGCACACATCACAAAGAAGTTTATAAGACTGCTTCTGTCTACATTTTTTGTGGAGACATTTCCTTTTCTACTGCATACCACAATGCGCTCCAAATGTCCACTTGCAGATTCTACAAAAAGAGTGTTTCCAAACTGCTCAATAAAATGAAAAGTTTAACTCTGTGAGATGAACGCACACATCAGAAAGAAGTTTCCCAGAATTATTCTGTCTAGTTTTTAAGTTAAGATATTTCCTTTTCGACCAGGGGCATCAAAGTACTCCAAATGTCCACTTGCATATTCTACAAAAAGAGGGTTTCCAAACTGCTCAATCAAAACAATGGTTCAGCTCTGTGTGGTGAACGCACACATCACCAAGCAGTTTCTCAGAATTCTTTTGACTAGTTTTTATGTGAAGATATTTCCTTTTCTACCATAGGCCTCAAAGCACTCCAAATGTAGACTTGTAGATTCTACAAAAAGAGTTTCAAAACTGCTCAATCAAGGGAAAGGTTACACAATGTGTGGTGAATGCACACATCACAAAGAAGTCTCAGATTGCTTCTGTCTAGATTTTATGTGACGATATTTCCTTTTCTACCGTAGGCCACAAAGTGCTCCAAAAGTCCACTTGCAGATTCTACAAAAAGAGTGTTTGAAACTGCTCAATCAAAAGAAAGGTTCAACTGTGTGAGATTAACGCACACATAAGAAAGAAGTTTCTCAGAATTCTTCTGTCTAGTTTTCATGTGAAGGCATTTTCTTTTCCACCATAGGCCTCAAGGCGCTCAAAATGTCCACTTGCAGATTCTACAAAAAGACAGTTTCAAATCTGCTCATTCAAAAGGAAGGTTTAACTCTGTAAGATGAGTACACGCATCACAAAGAAGTCTCTCAGAATTCC
>NC_000021.9:11120727-11123972 GCF_000001405.40 Homo sapiens | reverse complement strand
TCTGTGTAGGTTTATGTGAAGATATTTCCTTTTACACAATAGGCCAAAAAGCACTCCAAATATACACCTGAAGATTTTGCAAAGAGACTGTTTCAAAGCTGCTCAGTCATAAGATAGGTTCATCTCTGTGAGATGAATGCACACATCACAAAGAAGTTTCTCAGAATGCTTCTGTGTAGTTTTTATTTGAAGATATTTCCTTTGCCTCCATGGACTGCAAAGGGCTCCAAATATCCACTTGCAAATCCGAGAAAAAGAGAGATCCAAAAATGCTCAATTGAAAGATAGGTTCAAGACTGTGAGTTGAATGCACACATCACAAAGAAGTTTCTCAGAATGCTTCTGTGTTGTTTTTATGTGAAGATATTTTCTTTTCCACAATAGGCCTCAAAGGGCTCCAAATACCCACTTGCAGCTCCTACAAAAAGAGATATTCAAATCTGCTCAATCAAAAGATAAGTTCACCTCTGTGAGTTTAACACACACATCACAAAGTAGTTTCTCAGAATGCTTATTTGTAGTTTTTATGTGAAGATATTACCTTTTCCACAATAGGCCTCAAAGCACTCCAAATATCCACTTGCAGATTCTACAAACAGAGTGTTTCAAAACTTCTCAATCAAAAGATAGGTTCAACTCTCTGAGTTGAATGCATACATCATAAAGAAGTATCTCAGAATGCTTTTGTGTAGTTTTTACGTGAAGATATTTTCTTTTCCACAACAGTCCTGAAAGCCCTCCAAGTATCCACTTGCAGATTCTACAAAGAGAGTGTTTCAAATGTACTCAATCATAAGATATGTCCAAATCTATGAGATGAATGCACACATCACAAAGAAGTTTCTCAGAATGCTTCTGTGTAGTATTTATTTGAAGATATTTCCTTATCCTCCATTGGCTGCAAAGGGCTTCAAATATCCACTTGCAGATTCTGCAAAAAGAGAAATTCAAAACTGTTCAATCAAAAGATACGTTCAACTCTATGAGATGAATGCACACATCACAAAGAAGTTTCTCAGAATGCTTCTGTGTAGTTTTTATGGGAAGATATTTCCTTTTCCACAATAGGTCTAAAAGCACTCCAAATATCCACTTGCAGATTCTACAAAAAGAGTGTTTCAAAAGTTCTCAATCAAAAGAAACTTTCAACTCTGTGGGATGAATGCACACATCACAGAGTTGTTTCTCAGAATGCTTCTGTGTGGTTTTTACGTGAAGATATTTGCTTTTCCACAATAGGCCCCAAAGCGCTCCAAATATCCACTTGCACATTCTGTAAAAACTGTGTTTCAAAACTGCTCAATCAAAAGAAACGTACAACTCTGTTAGATGAATACACACAACAAAAAGTAGTTTCTCAGAATAAATATTTGTAGTTTTTATTTGAAGATATTTCCTTTGCCTCCATGGACTGCAAAGGGCTCCAAATATCCACTTGCAAATCCGAGAAAAAGAGAGATCCAAAACTGCTCAATTGAAACTGCTCATCTCTGTGGGATGAATGCACACATCACAAAGAAGTTTCTTAGAATGCTTCTGTGTAGTTTTTATTTGAAGATATTTCCTTTGCCTCCATGGACCGCAAAGGGCTCCAAACATCCACTTGCAGGTTCCTGAAAAAGAGAGATCCGAAACTGCTCAATCAAAAGATAGGTTCAAGGCTGTGAGTTGAATGGACACATCACAAAGAAGTTTCTCAGAAGGCTTCTGTGTAGTTTTTATGTGAAGATGTTTCCTTTTCCAAAATAGGCCTCAAAGCCCACCAAATATCCACTTGCAGATTCTACAAAAAGAGAGATTCAAAACTGCTCAATCAAAAGATAGGTTAAACTCTGTGACTTGAATTCACACATCACAAAGAAGTTTCTCAGAATGCTTATTTGTAGTTTTTATGTGAAGATATTACCTTTTCCACAATAGGCCTCAAAGCACTCCAAATATCCACTTGCAGATTCTACAAACAGAGTGTTTCAAAACTTCTCAATCAAAAGATAGGTTCAACTCTCTGAGTTGAGTGCATACATCATAAAGAAGTATCTCAGAATGCTTTTGTGAAGTTTTTACGTGAAGATATTTCCTTTTCCACAACAGTCCTGAAAGCCCTCCAAGTATCCACTTGCAGATTCTACAAAGAGAGTGTTTCAAATGTACTCAATCATAAGATATGTTCAAATCTATGAGATGAATGCACACATCACAAAGAAGTTTCTCAGAATGCTTCTGTGTAGTATTTATTTGAAGATATTTCCTTATCCTCCATTGGCTGCAAAGGGTTTCAAATATCCACTTGCAGATTCTGCAAACAGAGAAATTCAAAACTGCTCAATCAAAAGATAGGTTCAACTCTATGAGTTGAATGCACACATTGCAAAGAAGTTTCTCAGAATGCTTCTGTGTAGTTTTTATGGGAAGATATTTCCTTTTCCACAGTAGGTCTAAAAGCGCTCCAAATATCCACTTGCAGATTCTACAAAAAGAGTGTTTCAAAAGTTCTCAATCAAAAGAAACTTTCATCTCTGTGGGATGAATGCACACATCACAAAGAAGTTTCTTAGAATGCTTCTGTGTGGTTTTTACGTGAAGATATTTGCTTTTCCACAGTAGGCCCCAAAGCGCTCCAAATATCCACTTGCACATTCTGTAAAAACTGTGTTTCAAAACTGCTCAATCAAAAGAAACGTACAACTCTGTTAGATGAATACACACAACAAAAAGTAGTTTCTCAGAATAAATCTGTGTAGGTTTTATGTGAAGATATTTCCTTTTACAAAATAGGCCAAAAAGCACTCCAAATATACACCTGAAGATTCTGCAAAGAGAGTGTTTCAAAGCTGCTCAGTCATAAGATAGGTTCTTCTCTGTGAGATGAATGCACACATCACAAAGAAGTTTCTCAGAACGCTTCTGTGTAGTTTTTATTTGAAGATATTTCCTTTGCCTCCATGGACCGCAAAGGGCTCCAAACATCCACTTGCAGGTTCCTGAAAAAGAGAGATCCGAAACTGCTCAATCAAAAGATAGGTTCAAGGCAGTGAGTTGAATGGACACATCACAAAGAAGTTTCTCAGAAGGCTTCTGTGTGGTTTTTATGTGAAAATATTTCCTTTTCCACAGTAGGCCTCAAAGCGCTCCAAATATCCACTTGCAGCATCTACAAAGCCAGTGTTTCAAATCTGCTCAATCATAAGATAGGTTCAACTCTGTGAGATGAATGCACACATCACGAAGAAGTTTCTCAGAATGCC
>NC_000021.9:11113957-11120627 GCF_000001405.40 Homo sapiens | reverse complement strand
TCTGTGTAGTTTTTATGTGAAGATATTTCCTTTTCCACAATATTCCTCAAAGGGCTCCAAATATCCAGTTGCAGATTCTACAAAAAGAGTGTTTCAAAACTGCTCAATCAAAGGAAAGTTTCAACTCTGTGAGACGAATGCACACATCACTAAGAAGTTTCTCAGAATGCTTCTGTTTAGTTTTTGTTTGTAGGTATATGCTTTTCCACGGTAGGCCTCAATTCCCTCTAAATATCCACTTGCAGATTCTACAAAAACAGTGTTTCAAAACTGCTCAATAAAACGGTAGGTTCAAACCTGTGAGATAAATGCACATATCACAAAGAAGTTTCTCAGAATTCTTCTGTGTAATTTTTATCTGAAGATATTTCCTTTTCCACCATAGGACACAATGGGCTCCAAATATCCACTTGTACATTCTACAAAAAGAGAGACGCAAAACTGCTCAAAGAGGACATATGTTCAACTCTGTGAGTTGAATGCACACGACACAAAGAAGTTTCTCAGAATGGTTCTGTGTAGTTTTTATGTGAAAATATTTCCCTTTCCACAATATGCCTGAAAGCTCTCCAAACATCCCCTTGCAGATTCTGCAAAAAGAGAAATTCAAAACTGCTAAATCAAAAGATATGTTCAGCCCTGTGAGTTGAATGCACACATCACAAATAAGTTTCTGAGAATGTTTCTTTGTAGTTCTTATTTGAAGATATTTCCTTTTCTACCATAGCCCTCAAAGGGCTCCAATTATTCACTTGCAGATTCTACAAAAAGAGTGTTTCAAAACTGCTCAATCAAAAGAAAGTTTCAACACTGTGAGATGAATGCAAACATCAAAAAGAAGTATCTCAGAATGGTTCTATGTAGTTTTTACGTGAAGATATTTCCTTTTCCACAATAGGCCTCAAAGGGCTCCAAATATCAACTTACCGTTTCTACAAAAAGAGTGTTTCAAATCTGCTCAATCAAAAGAAAGTTTCAACTCTGTGAGTTGAATGCACACATCGCAAAAAAAGTTTCTCAGAAAGCTTTTGTGTAGCTTTTATCTGAAGTTATTTGCTTTTCCACAGTAGGCCTCAAAGCGTTCCAAATATCCACTTGCAGATTCTGCAAAAGAGAGATTAAAAACTGCTCAATAATAAGATAGTTTCAACTCTGTGAGTTGAATGCATACATCACAAAGAAATTTCTATGAATGCTTCTGTGTAGTTTTTATTTGAAGATATTTCCTTTTCCACCATGGGGCTCAAAGAGCTCCAAATATCTACCTGCAGATTTTATAAAAAGAGAGATTCAAAACTGCTCAATGAGAAAATAAGTTAAACTCTGTGGGTTGAGTGCACACCTCACAGAGAAGTTTCTCAGAATGCTTCTGTGTAGTTTTTATGTGAAGATATTTGCTTTTCCATAATAGGTTTCAAAGCTCTCCAAACATCCACTTGCAGATTCTGCAAAAAGAGAGCCTCTAAACTGCTCAATCAAAATATAGGTTCAACTCTGTGAGTTGAATGCACACATCAGAAAGAAGTTTATCAGAATGCTTCTGAGTAGTTTTTATGTGAAGATATTTCCTTTTCCACAATAGTCCTCAAAGGGCTCCAATTATCAGCTTGCAGATTGTACAAAAAGAGTGTTTCAAAACTGCTCAATCAAAAGAAAGTTTCAACTCCGTGAGATGAATGCACACACCGCAAAGAACTTTCTCAGAATGTTTATGTGTAGTTTTTATGTGAAGATATTTCCTTTTCCACAATAGGCCACAAAGCTTTGAAAACACACACTTGCAGATTCTTCAAAAAGAGAGATTCCAAACTGCTCAATCAAAAGATAGGTTCAACTCTGTGAGTTGAATGCACACATCCCAAAGAAGTTTCCCAGAATGCTTCTATGTAGTTTTCATGGGAAGATATTTCCTTTTCCACAACAGGCCTCAAAGGGCTCCAAATATCCACTTGCAGATTCTACAAAAAGAGTGTTTCAAAACTGCTCCATCAAGAGAAAGTTTTAACTCTGTGAGATGAATGCAAACATCACAAAGATGTTTCTCTGAATGCTTCTGTGTAGTATTTATGTGAAAATATTCCCTTTTACATAATAAGCCTCAACGTTCTCCAAACATCCGCTTGCAGATTCTGCAAAAAGAGAGATTCAAAACTGCTCGATCAAAAGATAGGTTCAACTCTGTGAGTTGAATGCACACATCACAAAGTAGTTTCTCAGAATGCTTCTGAGTAGTTTTTATGTGAACATATTTCATTTCCCACAGTAGGTCTCACAGTGCTCCAAATATCCACTTGCAAATTCTACAAAAAGAGAAATTCAAAACTGCTAAATCAAAAGATATGTTCAGCCCTGTGAGTTGAATGCACACATCACAAATAAGTTTCTGAGAATGTTTCTGTTTAGTTTTTATTTGAAAATATTTCTTTTTCCACCAAAGGCCGCAAATGGCTCCAAATATCTACTTGCAGTTTCTGCCAAAAGAGAGATTCAAATCTGCTCAATCAAAAGATAGGTTCAACTCTGTGAGTTGAATGCACACATCCCAAAGAAGTTTCTCAGAATGCTTCTGTGTAGTTTTTATATGAAGATATTTGCTTTTCCTCAGTATGCCTCAAAGGGCAGCAAATATCCACTTGCAGATTCTACAAATAGAGAGATTCAAAACTGCTCAATGAGAAGAAAAGTTTAACTCTGTGGGTTGAATGGACTCCTCATAAAGAAGTTTCTCAGAATGCTTCTGTGTAGTTTTTATGTGAAGATATTTCCTTTTCCACAATATTCCTCAAAGGGCTCCAAATATCCAGTTGCAGATTCTACAAAAAGAGTGTTTCAAAACTGCTCAATCAAAGGAAAGTTTCAACTCTGTGAGACGAATGCACACATCACTAAGAAGTTTCTCAGAATGCTTCTGTTTAGTTTTTGTTTGTAGGTATATGCTTTTCCACGGTAGGCCTCAATTCCCTCTAAATATCCACTTGCAGATTCTACAAAAACAGTGTTTCAAAACTGCTCAATAAAACGGTAGGTTCAAACCTGTGAGATAAATGCACATATCACAAAGAAGTTTCTCAGAATTCTTCTGTGTAATTTTTATCTGAAGATATTTCCTTTTCCACCATAGGACACAATGGGCTCCAAATATCCACTTGTACATTCTACAAAAAGAGAGACGCAAAACTGCTCAAAGAGGACATATGTTCAACTCTGTGAGTTGAATGCACACGACACAAAGAAGTTTCTCAGAATGGTTCTGTGTAGTTTTTATGTGAAAATATTTCCCTTTCCACAATATGCCTGAAAGCTCTCCAAACATCCCCTTGCAGATTCTGCCAAAAGAGAAATTCAAAACTGCTAAATCAAAAGATATGTTCAGCCCTGTGAGTTGAATGCACACATCACAAATAAGTTTCTGAGAATGTTTCTGTGTAGTTCTTATTTGAAGATATTTCCTTCTCCACCACAGGGCGCAAAGGGATCCAATTATTCCACTTGCAGATTCTACAAAAAGAGTGTTTCAAAACTGCTCAATGAAAAGAAAGTTTCAACATTGTTAGATGAATGCAAGCATCACAAAGAAGTATCTCAGAATGATTCTATGTAGTTTTTATGTGAAGATATTTCCTTTTCCACAATAGGCCTCAAAGGGCTCCAAATATCAACTTACAGTTTCTACAAAAAGAGTGTTTCAAATCTGCTCAATCAAAAGAAAGTTTCAACTCTGTGAGTTGAATGCACACATCGCAAAAAAGTTTCTCAGAAAGCTTTTGTGTAGCTTTTATCTGAAGTTATTTGCTTTTCCACAGTAGGCCTCAAAGCGCTCCAAATATCCACTTGCAGATTCTGCAAAAGAGAGATTAAAAACTGCTCAATAATAAGATAGTTTCAACTCTGTGAGTTGAATGCATACATCACAAAGAAATTTCTATGAATGCTTCTGTGTAGTTTTTATTTGAAGATATCTCCTTTTCCACCATGGGGCTCAAAGAGCTCCAAATATCTACCTGCAGATTTTATAAAAAGAGAGATTCAAAACTGCTCAATGAGAAAATAAGTTAAACTCTGTGGGTTGAGTGCACACCTCACAGAGAAGTTTCTCAGAATGCTTCTGTGTAGTTTTTATGTGAAGATATTTGCTTTTCCATAATAGGTTTCAAAGCTCTCCAAACATCCACTTGCAGATTCTGCAAAAAGAGAGCTTCTAAACTGCTCAATCAAAATATAGGTTCAACTCTGTGAGTTGAATGCACACATCAGAAAGAAGTTTATCAGAATGCTTCTGTGTAGTTTTTATTTGAAGATATTTCCTTTTCCACAATAGTCCTCAAAGGGCTCCAATTATCCACTAGCAGATTGTACAAAAAGAGTGTTTCAAAACTGCTCCATCAAAAGAAAGTTTCAACTCTATGACATGAATGCACGCACCACAAAGAACTTTCCCAGAATATTTATGTGTAGTTTTTATGTGAAGACATTTCCTTTTCCACAATAGGCCACAAAGCTTTGCAAACATACACTTGCAGATTCTGCAAAAAGAAAGATTCAAAAATCCTCAATCAAAAGATAGGTTCAACTCTTGTGAGTTGAATGCACACATTGCAAAGAAGTTTCTCAGAATACTTCTATGTAGTTTTCATGGGAAGATATTTCCTTTTCCACAACAGGCCTCAAAGGGCTCCAAATATCCACTTGCAGATTCTACAAAAAGAGTGTTTCAAAACTGCTCCATCAAGAGAAAGTTTTAACTCTGTGAGATGAATGCAAACATCACAAAGATGTTTCTCTGAATGCTTCTGTGTAGTTTTAATCTGAAGATAATTGCTTTTCCACGGTAGGCCTTAAGGCCCTCAAAATATCCAGTTGCAGATTCTGCAAAAAGAGAGATTCAAAACTGCTCATTCTTAAGATAGGTTCAAGTCTGTGAGTTGAATGCATACATCACAAAGAAGTTTATCAGAATGCTCCTGAATAGTTTTTATGTGAAGATATTTACTTTTCCACAATAGCCCTCAAAGGGCTCCAAATATCCAGTTGCAGATTCTACAAAAAGAGTGTTTCAAAACTGCTCAATCATAAGATAGTTTCAACCCTGTGAGATGAATGCACACATCACAAAGAAGTTTCTCAGTATGTTTCTGTTTAGTTTTTATTTGAAAATATTTCTTTTTCCACAAAAGGCCGCAAATGGCTCCAAATATCTACTTGCAGTTTCTGCCAAAAGAGAGATTCAAATCTGCTCAATCAAAAGATAGGTTCAACTCTGTGAGTTGAATGCACACATCCCAAAGAAGTTTCTCAGAATGCTTCTGTGTAGTTTTTATATGAAGATATTTGCTTTTCCTCAGTATGCCTCAAAGGGCAGCAAATATCCACTTGCAGATTCTACAAATAGAGAGATTCAAAACTGCTCAATGAGAAGAAAAGTTTAACTCTGTGGGTTGAATGGACTCCTCATAAAGAAGTTTCTCAGAATGCTTCTGTGTAGTTTTTATGTGAAGATATTTCCTTTTCCACAATATTCCTCAAAGGGCTCCAAATATCCAGTTGCAGATTCTACAAAAAGAGTGTTTCAAAACTGCTCAATCAAAGGAAAGTTTCAACTCTGTGAGACGAATGCACACATCACTAAGAAGTTTCTCAGAATGCTTCTGTTTAGTTTTTGTTTGTAGGTATATGCTTTTCCACGGTAGGCCTCAATTCCCTCTAAATATCCACTTGCAGATTCTACAAAAACAGTGTTTCAAAACTGCTCAATAAAACGGTAGGTTCAAACCTGTGAGATAAATGCACATATCACAAAGAAGTTTCTCAGAATTCTTCTGTGTAATTTTTATCTGAAGATATTTCCTTTTCCACCATAGGACACAATGGGCTCCAAATATCCACTTGTACATTCTACAAAAAGAGAGACGCAAAACTGCTCAAAGAGGACATATGTTCAACTCTGTGAGTCGAATGCACACGACACAAAGAAGTTTCTCAGAATGGTTCTGAGTAGTTTTTATGTGAACATATTTCATTTCCCACAGTAGGTCTCACAGCGCTCCAAATATCCACTTGCAAATTCTACAAAAAGAGAAATTCAAAAGTGCTAAATCAAAAGATATGTTCAGGTCTGTGAGTTGAATGCTCACATCACAAATAAGTTTCTGAGAATGTTTCTTTGTAGTTCTTATTTGAAGATATTTCCTTTTCTACCATAGCCCTCAAAGGGCTCCAATTATTCACTTGCAGATTCTACAAAAAGAGTGTTTCAAAACTGCTCAATCAAAAGAAACTTTCAACACTGTGAGATGAATGCAAACATCAAAAAGAAGTATCTCAGAATGGTTCTATGTAGTTTTTACGTGAAGATATTTCCTTTTCCACAATAGGCCTCAAAGGGCTCCAAATATCAACTTACAGTTTCTACAAAAAGAGTGTTTCAAATCTGCTCAATCAAAAGAAAGTTTCAACTCTGTGAGTTGAATGCACACATCGCAAAAAAGTTTCTCAGAAAGCTTCTGTGTAGCTTTTATCTGAAGATATTTGCTTTTCCACGGTAGGCCTCAAAGCGCTCCAAATATCCAGTTGCAGATTCTGCAAAAAGAGAGATTCAAAACTGCTCAATAATAAGATAGTTTCAACTCTGTGAGTTGAATGCATACATCACAAAGAAGTTTCTATGAATGCT
>NC_000021.9:11093187-11113857 GCF_000001405.40 Homo sapiens | reverse complement strand
TCTTTCTAGTTTTTATATGAAGATATTCCCGTGTCCAACAAAGGCCTCCAATCAGTCCAAATATCCACTGGCAGATTCTACGAAGAGTGTTTCAAAACTGCTCTATGAAAAGGGACGTTCAACTCTGTGAGTTCAATGCAAACATCACAGCGGAGATTCTGAAAATGCTTCTGTCCTGTTTTTATGTGAAGATATTTCCTTTTCCACCATAGGCCTCAAAGCTCTCCAAATCACCACTTGCAGATGCTACAAAAACAGTGTTTCAAAACTGCCCTATCAAAATAAAGGTTAACACAGTGAGTTGAATGCAATCATCACAAAGTCGTTGCTGAGAATGCTTCTGTCTCGTTTTCATGTGAAGATATTCTCGTTTACAATGAAGGCCTCAAAGCATTCCAAATATACACTTGCAGATTCTACGAAAAGAGTGCTTCAAAACAGCTCTATGAAAAGGTGTGTTCAACTCTGTGAGTTGAATGCAAACGTCACAAAGAAGTTTCTGAGAATCTTTGTGTCTGGTTTTTATGTGAAGATATTTCCTTTTCCACCGTAGGCCTCAAAGCTCTCCAAATGTCCACTGGCAGATTCTACAAAAACGGTTTTTCAAAACTGCTCTATCAATAGAAAGCTTCAACTCTGAGAGTTGAATTCACACATCACAAAGAAGTTTCTGAGAATGCTTCTGTTTCGTTTTTATGTGAAGATTTTCCCATTTCCAACGAAGGCCTCAAAGCCGTCCAAATATCCATTTGCAGATTCTACGAAAAGTGTGTTTCAAAACTTCTCTATGAAAAGGTATGTTTAATTCTGTGAGTTGAATGCAACCATCACAAAGAAGTTTCTGAGAATCCTTCTGTCTAGTTTTTATGTGAAGATATTTCCTTCTCCACCACAGGCCTCGAAGCTCTGAAAATTTCCACATGCAGATTCTAAAAAAACAGTGCTTCAAAACAGCTCTATCAAAAGAAAGGTTCAGCTCTGTGAGTTGAATGCACACATCACAAAGAAGGCTCTGAGAATGCTTCTCTCTAGTTTTTATGTGAAGATATTCCCGTTTACAAAGAAGGCCTCAAAGCACTCAATATATCCACTTGCAGATTCTAAAAAAACAGTGCTTCAAAACAGCTCTATCAAAAGAAAGGTTCAGCTCTGTAAGTTGAATGCACACATCACAAAGACGGCTCTGAGAATGCTTCTGTCTAGTTTTTATGTGAAGATATTCCCGTTTACAAAGAAGGCCTCAAAGCACTCCATATATCAACTTACAGATTCTACAAAAAGAGTGTTTCAAAACTGCTCTGTGAAAAGGTATGTTCAACTCTGTGGGTTGAATGCAAACAATACAAAGAAGTTTCTGAGAATGCTTCCATCTGGTTTTTATGTGAAGGTATTTCCTTTTCCACCACAGGCCTCAAAGCTTTCCAAATGTCCACTTGCAGATTCTACAAAAAGAGTGTTTAAAAACTGCTCTATCAAAAGGAAGATTCAACTCTTTGTGTTGAATGTGCAGATCACAAAGAAGTTTCTGAGAATGCTTCTGTCTAGTTTTTATGTGGAGATATTCCCGTTTCCAACGAAGGCCTCTAAGCAGTACAAATATCCACTTTGCAGATTTTGCGAAAAGAGTGTTTCCAAACTGCTCTATCAACAGAAAGGTTCAACTTCTGTGAGTTGAATGCACACATCACAAAGAAATTTCCCAGAATTCTTCTGTCTAGTTCTTATGTGAAGATATTCCCGTTTCCGACGAAGGCCTCAAAGCAGTCCAAATATCCACTTGCAGATTCTACGAAACGAGTGTTTCAAAACTGCTCTATGACAAGGTATGTTCAAATCTGTGATTTGAATGCACACATCACAAAGAACTTTCTGAGAATGCATCTGTCTAGTTTTTATGTAAAGATATTCCTGTTTCCAAAGAAAACCTAAAAGCAGTCCAAATATCCACTTGCAGATTCTACGAAAAGAGTGTTTCAAAACTCCTCTATGAAAAGGTATTTTCAACTTTGTGAGTTGAATGCAAACAGCACAAAGAAGTTTCTCAGAATGCTTCTGTCTGGTTTTTATGTGAAGATATTTTCTTTCTCACCATAGGCCTCAAAGCTCTCCAAATGTCCACTTGCAGATTCTTCAAAAAGAGTGTTTCAAGACTGGTCTATGAAAAGAAAGGTTCAAGTACTGTGAGTTGAATGCCCACATCACAAAGAAGTTTCTGAGAATGCTTTTGTCTAGTTTTTATTTGAAGATATTCACATTTCCAACGAAGGCCTGAAAGCGTTCCAATTATCCATTTGCATATTCTACCAAAAGAGTTTTCCAAAACTGCTCTATGAAAAGGTATGTCCATCTCTGTGAGTTGAATGCAAACCTAACAAAGTAGGTACTGAGAATGATTCTGTCTAGTTTTCATGGGAAGGTATTTCCATTTCCACCATATGCTTCAAAAGTCTCCAAATGTCCACTTGCAGATTCTATAAAAACAGTGTTTCAAAACTGCTCTATCAAAAGAAATGTTCAACTCTCTGAGTTGAATGCCCACATCACAAAGGTGTTTCCGAGAATGCTTCTGTCTAGTTTTTATGTGAAGATATTCCCGTTTCCAACGAGGTCCTTAAAGCAGTCCAAATATCCTCTTGCAGATTCTACAAAAAGAGTGTTTCAAAACTGCTCTACGAAAAGTTATTTTCAACTCTGTGAGTTGAATGCAAATATCACAAAGATGTTTTTGAGAATGCTTCTGTCCAGTTTTTATGTGAAGATATTTCCTTTTCCACTGTAGGCCTCAAAGCTCTCTTGGCTTTGCACTTGCAGATTCTACAAAAAGAATGTTTCAAACTGCTCCTTCAAAAGAGTGGTTCAGCTCTGTGAGTTGAATGGCCTCATCACAAAGAAGTTTCTGAGAATGCTTCTGTCTAATTTTTATGTTAAGATATTTCTGTTTCCACTGAAGGCCTCAAAGCAGTCCAAATATCCCCTTGCAGATACTACGGAAAGAGTTTTTCAAAACTGCGCTATGAAAAGGTATTTCATCTCTGTGACTTGAATGCAAACATCACAAGAAGTTTCTGAAAATGCTTCTGTCTTCTTTTTATGTGAAGGTATATCATTTTCCACCATAGGCCTCAAAGCTTCCCAAATGTCCACTTGCAGATTCTACAAAAAGTCTGTTTCAAAACTGCTCTATCAAAAGAAAAGTTCAACTCTCTGAGTTGAATGCACATATCACAAAGAAGTTTCTGAGAATTCTTCTTTCTATATTTTATGTGAAGGTATTCCCGTTTCCAACAAAGGCCTCAAATCAGTCCAAATATCCACTTGTGGATTCTACGAAAAGAGTGTTTCAAAACTGCTCTATGAAAAGGTATGTTCAACTCTGTGAGTTGAATGCAAACTTCACAGAGGAGATTCTGAGAATGCTTCTGTCCAGTTTTTATGTGGAGATATTTCCTTTTCCACCATAGGCCTCAAAGCTCTCCAAATGACCACTTGCAGATGCTACAAAAACAGTGTTTCAAAACTGTTCTATGAAAATAAAGGTTAACACTGTGAGTTGAATGCAAACATCGCAAAGAAGTTTCTGAAAATGCTTCTGTCTGGTTTATATGTGAAGGTATATCATTTTCCACCATAGGCCTCAAAGCTCTCCAAAAGAACACTTGCAGATGCTACCAAAACAGTGTTTACAAACTGCCCTATCAAAATAAAGGTTAACACAGTGAGTTGAATGCAATCATCACAAAGTAGTTGCTGAGAATGCTTCTTTCTAGTTTTTATATGAAGATATTCCCGTGTCCAACAAAGGCCTCAAATCAGTCCAAATATCCACTGGCAGATTCTACGAAGAGTGTTTCAAAACTGCTCTATGAAAGGGGACGTTCAACTCTGTGAGTTCAATGCAAACATCACAGCGGAGATTCTGAAAATGCTTCTGTCCTGTTTTTATGTGAAGATATTTCTTTTTCCACCATAGGCCTCAAAGCTCTCCAAATGACCACTTGCAGATGCTACAAAAACAGTGTTTCAAAACTGCCCTATCAAAATAAAGGTTAACACAGTGAGTTGAATGCAATCATCACAAAGTAGTTGCTGAGAATGCTTCTGTCTCGTTTTTATGTGAAGATATTCTCGTTTACAATGAAGGCCTCAAAGCAGTCCAAATATACACTTGCAGATTCTACGAAAAGAGTGTTTCAAAACTGCTCTATGAAAAGGTATGTTCAACTCTCTTCGTTGAATGCAAACATCACAAAGAAGTTTCTGAGAATTCTTGTGTCTGGTTTTTATGTGAAGATATTTCCTTTTCCACCGCAGGCTTCCAAGCTCTCCAAATGTCCACTGACAGATTCTACAAAAACGGTTTTTCAAAATTGCTCTATCAATAGAAACCTTCAACTCTGAGAGTTGAATTCAAACATCACAAAGAAGTTTCTGAGAATGCTTCCGTCTAGTTTTTATGTGAAGATATTCCTCTTTCCAACGAAGGCCTCAAAGCAGTCCAAATATCCATTTGCAGATCCTACGAAAAGAGTGTTTCAAAACTGCTCTATGAAAAGGTATGTTCAACTCTGTGAGTTGAATGCAAACGTCACAAACAAATTTCTGAGAATGCTTCTGTCTAGTTTTTATGTGAAGATATTTCCTTCTCCACCACAGGCCTCGAAGCTCTGAAAATTTCCACATGCAGATTCTAAAAAAACAGTGCTTCAAAACAGCTCTATCAAAAGAAAGGTTCAGCTCCGTGAGTTGAATGCACACATCACAAAGAAGGTTCTGAGAATGCTTCTCTCTAGTTTTTATGTGAAGATATTCCCGTTTACAAAGAAGGCCTCAAAGCACTCCATATATCCACTTGCAGATTCTAAAAAAACAGTGCTTCAAAACAGCTCTATCAAAAGAAAGGTTCAGCTCTGTGAGTTGAATGCACACATCACAAAGAAGGCTCTGAGAATGCTTCTCTCTAGTTTTTATGTGAAGATATTCCCGTTTAAAAAGAAGGCCTCAAAGCACTCCATATATCCACTTGCAGATTCTACAAAAAGAGTGTTTCAAAACTGCTCTGTGAAAAGGTATGTTCAACTCTGTGGGTTGAATGCAAACAATACAAAGAAGTTTCTGAGAATGCTTCCATCTGGTTTTTATGTGAAGGTATTTCCTTTTCCACCACAGGCCTGAAAGCTTTCCAAATGTCCACTTGCAGATTCTACAAAAAGAGTGTTTAAAAACTGCTCTGTGAAAAGGTATGTTCAACTCTGTGGGTTGAATGCAAACAATACAAGGAAGTTTCTGAGAATGCTTCTGTCTAGTTTTTATGTGGAGATATTCCCGTTTCCAACGAAGGCCTCTAAGCAGTACAAATATCCACTCTGCAGATTTTGCGAAAAGAGTGTTTCCAAACTGCTCTATCAACAGAAAGGTTCAACTCTGTGAGTTGAATGCACACATCACAAAGAAATTTCCCAGAATTCTTCTGTCTAGTTCTTATGTGAAGATATTCCCGTTTCCGATGAAGGCCTCAAAGCAGTCCAAATATCCACTTGCAGATTCTACGAAACGAGTGTTTCAAAACTGCTCTATGACAAGGTATGTTCAAATCTGTGAGTTGAATGCACACATCACAAAGAACTTTCTGAGAATGCATCTGTCTAGTGTTTATGTAAAGATATTCCTGTTTCCAAAGAAAACCTAAAAGCAGTCCAAATATCCACTTGCAGATTCTACGAAAAGAGTGTTTCAAAACTCCTCTATGAAAAGGTATTTTCAACTTTGTGAGTTGAATGCAAACAGCACAAAGAAGTTTCTCAGAATGCTTCTGTCTGGTTTTTATGTGGAGATATTTTCTTTCTCACCATAGGCCTCAAAGCTCTCCAAATGTCCATTTGCAGATTCTTCAAAAAGAGTGTTTCAAGACTGCTCTATGAAAAGAAAGGTTCAAGTCTGTGAGTTGAATGCCCACATCACAAAGAAGTTTCTGAGAATGCTTTTGTCTAGTTTTTATTTGAAGATATTCACATTTCCAACGAAGGCCTGAAAGCGTTCCAATTATGCATTTGCATATTCTACCAAAAGAGTTTTCCAAAACTGCTCTATGAAAAGGTATGTCCATCTCTGTGAGTTGAATGCAAACATAACAAAGTAGGTACTGAGAATGTTTCTGTCTAGTTTTCATGGGAAGGTATTTCCATTTCCACCATATGCTTCAAAAGTCTCCAAATGTCCACTTGCAGATTCTATAAAAACAGTGTTTCAAAACTGCTCTATCAAAAGAAAGGTTCAACTCTCTGTGTTGAATGCCCCCATCACAAAGGTGTTTCGGAGAATGCTTCTCTCTAGTTTTTATGTGAAGATATTCCCGTTTCCAACGAGGTCCTTAAAGCAGTCCAAATATCCTCTTGCAGATTCTACAAAAAGAGTGTTTCAAAACTGCTCTACGAAAAGTTATTTTCAACTCTGTGAGTTGAATGCAAATATCACAAAGATGTTTTTGAGAATGCTTCTGTTCAGTTTTTATGTGAAGATATTTCCTTTTCCACTGTAGGCCTCAAAGCTCTCTTGGCTTTGCACTTGCAGATTCTACAAAAAGAATGTTTCAAACTGCTCCTTCAAAAGAGTGGTTCAGCTCTGTGAGTTGAATGGCCTCATCACAAAGAAGTTTCTGAGAATGCTTCTGTCTAATTTTTATGTTAAGATATTTCTGTTTCCACTGAAGGCCTCAAAGCAGTCCAAATATCCCCTTGCAGATACTACGGAAAGAGTTTTTCAAAACTGCGCTATGAAAAGGTATTTCATCTCTGTGAGTTGAATGCAAACATCACAAAGAAGTTTCTGAAAATGCTTCTGTCTTCTTTTTATGTGAAGGTATATCATTTTCCACCATAGGCCTCAAAGCTTCCCAAATGTCCACTTGCAGATTCTACAAAAAGTCTGTTTCAAAACTGCTCTATCGAAAGAAAAGTTCAACTCTCTGAGTTGAATGCACATATCACAAAGAAGTTTCTGAGAATTCTTCTTTCTAGATTTTATGTGAAGGTATTCCCGTTTCCAACAAAGGCCTCAAATCAGTCCAAATATCCACTTGTGGATTCTACGAAAAGAGTGTTTCAAAACTGCTCTATGAAAAGGTATGTTCAACTGAGTGAGTTGAATGCAAACATCACAGAGGAGATTCTGAGAATGCTTCTGTCCAGTTTTTATGTGGAGATATTTCCTTTTCCACCATAGGCCTCAAAGCTCTCCAAATGACCACTTGCAGATGCTACAAAAACAGTGTTTCAAAACTGTTCTATGAAAATAAAGGTTAACACTGTGAGTTGAATGCAATCATCACAAATTAGTTGCTGAGAATGCTTCTGTCTGGTTTTTATGTGAAGGTATATCATTTTCCACCATAGGCCTCAAAGCTTCCCAAATGTCCACTTGCAGATTCTGCAAAAAGTCTGTTGCAAAACTGCTCTATCAAAAGAAAAGTTCAACTCTCTGAGTTGAATGCACACATCACAAAGAAGTTTCTGAGAATTCTTCTTTCTAGTTTTTATATGAAGATATTCCCGTGTCCAACAAAGGCCTCCAATCAGTCCAAATATCCACTGGCAGATTCTACGAAAAGTGTTTCAAAACTGCTCTATGAAAGGGGACGTTCAACTCTGTGAGTTCAATGCAAACATCACAGCGGAGATTCTGAAAATGTTTCTGTCTGGTTTATATGTGAAGGTATATCATTTTCCACCATAGGCCTCAAAGCTCTCCAAATGAACACTTGCAGATGCTACCAAAACAGTGTTTACAAACTGCCCTATCAAAATAAAGGTTAACACAGTGAGTTGAATGCAATCATCACAAAGTAGTTGCTGAGAATGCTTCTGTCTCGTTTTCATGTGAAGATATTGTCGTTTACAATGAAGGCCTCAAAGCATTCCAAATATACACTTGCAGATTCTACGAAAAGAGTGCTTCAAAACTGCTCTATGAAAAGGTGTGTTCAACTCTGTGAGTTGAATGCAAACGTCACAAAGAAGTTTCTGAGAATCTTTGTGTCTGGTTTTTATGTGAAGATATTTCCTTTTCCACCGTAGGCCTCCAAGCTCTCCAAATGTCCACTGGCAGATTCTACAAAAACGGTTTTTCAAAACTGCTCTATCAATAGAAAGCTTCAACTCTGTGAGTTGAATTCACACATCACAAACAAGTTTCTGAGAATGCTTCCGTCTAGTTTTTATGTGAAGATATTCCTCTTTCCAACGAAGGCCTCAAAGCAGTCCAAATATCCATTTGCAGATCCTACGAAAAGAGTGTTTCAAAACTGCTCTATGAAAAGGTATGTTCAACTCTGTGAGTTGAATGCAAACGTCACAAACAAGTTTCTGAGAATGCTTCTGTCTAGTTTCTATGTGAAGATATTTCCTTCTCCACCACAGGCCTCGAAGCTCTGAAAATTTCCACATGCAGATTCTAAAAAAACAGTGCTTCAAAACAGCTCTATCAAAAGAAAGGTTCAGCTCTGTGAGTTGAATGCACACATCACAAAGAAGGCTCTGAGAATGCTTCTCTCTAGTTTTTATGTGAAGATATTCCCGTTTACAAAGAAGGCCTCAAAGCACTCAATATATTCACTTGCAGATTCTAAAAAAACAGTGCTTCAAAACAGCTCTATCAAAAGAAAGGTTCAGCTCTGTGAGTTGAATGCACACATCACAAAGAAGGCTCTGAGAATGCTTCTCTCTAGTTTTTATGTGAAGATATTCCCGTTTACAAAGAAGGCCTCAAAGCACTCCATATATCCACTTGCAGATTCTACAAAAAGAGTGTTTCAAAACTGCTCTGTGAAAAGGTATGTTCAACTCTGTGGGTTGAATGCAAACAATACAAAGAAGTTTCTGAGAATGCTTCCATCTGGTTTTTATGTGAAGGTATTTCCTTTTCCACCACAGGCCTCAAAGCTTTCCAAATGTCCACTTGCAGATTCTACAAAAAGAGTGTTTAAAAACTGCTCTGTGAAAAGGTATGTTCAACTCTGTGGGTTGAATGCAAACAATACAAAGAAGTTTCTGAGAATGCTTCTGTCTAGTTTTTATGTGGAGATATTCCCGTTTCCAACGAAGGCCTCTAAGCAATACAAATATCCACTTTGCAGATTTTGCGAAAAGAGTGTTTCCAAACTGCTCTATCAACAGAAAGTTTCAACTCTGTGAGTTGCATGCACACATCACAAAGAAATTTCCCAGAATTCTTCTGTCTAGTTCTTATGTGAAGATATTCCCGTTTCCGACGAAGGCCTCAAAGCAGTCCAAATATCCACTTGCAGATTCTACGAAACGAGTGTTTCAAAACTGCTCTATGACAAGATATGTTCAAATCTGTGAGTTGAATGCACACATCACAAAGAACTTTCTGAGAATGCATCTGTCTAGTGTTTATGTAAAGATATTCCTGTTTCCAAAGAAAACCTAAAAGCAGTCCAAATATCCACTTGCAGATTCTATGAAAAGAGTGTTTCAAAACTCCTCTATGAAAAGGTATTTTCAACTTTGTGAGTTGAATGCAAACAGCACAAAGAAGTTTCTCAGAATGCTTCTGTCTGGCTTTTATGTGAAGATATTTTCTTTCTCACCATAGGCCTCAAAGCTCTCCAAATGTCCACTTGCCGATTCTTCAAAAAGAGTGTTTCAAGACTGCTCTATGAAAAGAAAGGTTCAAGTCTGTGAGTTGAATGCCCACATCACAAAGAAGTTTCTGAGAATGCTTTTGTCTAGTTTTTATTTGAAGATATTCACATTTCCAACGAAGGCCTGAAAGCGTTCCAATTATCCATTTGCATATTCCACCAAAAGAGTTTTCCAAAACTGCTCTATGAAAAGGTATGTCCATCTCTGTGAGTTGAATGCAAACATAACAAAGTAGGTACTGAGAATGTTTCTGTCTAGTTTTCATGGGAAGGTATTTCCATTTCCACCATATGCTTCAAAAGTCTCCAAATGTCCACTTGCAGATTCTATAAAAACAGTGTTTCAAAACAGCTCTATCAAAAGAAAGGTTCAACTCTCTGAGTTGAATGCCCACATCACAAAGGTGTTTCTGAGAATGCTTCTGTCTAGTTTTTATGTGAAGATATTCCCGTTTCCAACGAGGTCCTTAAAGCAGTCCAAATATCCTCTTGCAGATTCTACAAAAAGAGTGTTTCAAAACTGCTCTATGAAAAGTTATTTTCAACTCTGTGAGTTGAATGCAAATATCACAAAGATGTTTTTGAGAATGCTTCTGTCCAGTTTTTATGTGAAGATATTTCCTTCTCCACTGTAGGCCTCAAAGCTCTCTTGGCTTTGCACTTGCAGATTCTACAAAAAGAATGTTTCAAACTGCTCCTTCAAAAGACTGGTTCAGCTCTGTGAGTTGAATGGCCTCATCACAAAGAAGTTTCTGAGAATGCTTCTGTCTAATTTTTATGTTAAGATATTTCTGTTTCCACTGAAGGCCTCAAAGCAGTCCAAATATCCCCTTGCAGATACTACGAAAAGAGGTTTTCAAAACTGCGCTATGAAAAGGTATTTCATCTCTGTGACTTGAATGCAAACATCACAAAGAAGTTTCTGAAAATGCTTCTGTCTTCTTTTTATGTGAAGGTATATCATTTTCCACCATAGGCCTCAAAGCTTCCCAAATGTCCACTTGCAGATTCTGCAAAAAGTCTGTTTCAAAACTGCTCTATCAAAAGAAAAGTTCAACTCTCTGAGTTGAATGCACACATCACAAAGAAGTTTCTGAGAATTCTTCTTTCTAGATTTTATGTGAAGGTATTCCCGTTTCCAACAAAGGCCTCAAATCAGTCCAAATATCCACTTGTGGATTCTACGAAAAGAGTGTTTCAAAACTGCTCTATGAAAAGGTATGTTCAACTCTGTGAGTTGAATGCAAACATCACAGAGGAGATTCTGAGAATGCTTCTGTCCAGTTTTTATGTGGAGATATTTCCTTTTCCACCATAGGCCTCAAAGCTCTCCAAATGACCACTTGCAGATGCTACAAAAACAGTGTTTCAAAACTGTTCTATGAAAATAAAGGTTAACACTATGAGTTGAATGCAAACATCGCAAAGAAGTTTCTGAAAATGCATCTGTCTGGTTTTTATGTGAAGGTATATCATTTTCCACCATAGGCTTCAAAGCTTCCCAAATGTCCACTTGCAGATTCCGCAAAAAGTCTGTTTCAAAACTGCTCTATCAAAAGAAAAGTTCAACTGCTGCTGAGTTGAATGCACACATCACAAAGAAGTTTCTGAGAATTCTTCTTTCTAGTTTTTATATGAAGATATTCCCGTGTCCAACAAAGGCCTCCAATCAGTCCAAATATCCACTGGCAGATTCTACGAAGAGTGTTTCAAAACTGCCCTATGAAAAGGGACGTTCAACTCTGTGAGTTGAATGCAAACATCACAGCGGAGATTCTGAAAATGCTTCTGTCCTGTTTTTATGTGAAGATATTTCCTTTTCCACCATAGGCCTCAAAGCTCTCCAAATGACCACTTGCAGATGCTACAAAAACAGTGTTTCCAAACTGCCCTATCAAAATAAAGGTTAACACAGTGAGTTGAATGCAATCATCACAAAGTAGTTGCTGAGAATGCTTCTGTCTCGTTTTTATGTGAAGATATTCTCGTTTACAATGAAGGCCTCAAAGCATTCCAAATATACACTTGCAGATTCTACGAAAAGACTGCTTCAAAACTGCTCTATGAAAAGGTGTGTTCAACTCTGTGAGTTGAATGCAAACGTCACAAAGAAGTTTCTGAGAATCTTTGTGTCTGGTTTTTATGTGAAGATATTTCCTTTTCCACCGTAGGCCTCAAAGCTCTCCAAATATCCACTGGCAGATTCTACAAAAACGGTTTTTCAAAACTGCTCTATCAATAGAAAGCTTCAACTCTGTGAGTTGAATTCACACATCACAAAGAAGTTTCTGAGAATGCTTCCTTCTAGTTTTTATGTGAAGATATTCCTCTTTCCAACGAAGGCCTCAAAGCAGTCCAAATATCCATTTGCAGATCCTACGAAAAGAGTGTTTCAAAACTGCTCTATGAAAAGGTATGTTCAACTCTGTGAGTTGAATGCAAACGTCACAAACAAGTTTCTGAGAATGCTTCTGTCTAGTTTTTATGTGAAGATATTTCCTTCTCCACCACAGGCCTCGAAGCTCTGAAAATTTCCACATGCAGATTCTAAAAAAACAGTGCTTCAAAACAGCTCTATCAAAAGAAAGGTTCAGCTCCGTGAGCTGAATGCACACATCACAAAGAAGGCTCTGAGAATGCTTCTCTCTAGTTTTTATGTGAAGATATTCCCGTTTACAAAGAAGGCCTCAAAGCACTCAATATATCCACTTGCAGATTCTAAAAAAACAGTGCTTCAAAACAGCTCTATCAAAAGAAAGGTTCAGCTCTGTGAGTTGAATGCACACATCACAAAGAAGGCTCTGAGAATGCTTCTCTCTAGTTTTTATGTGAAGATATTCCCGTTTACAAAGAAGGCCTCAAAGCACTCCATATATCAACTTACAGATTCTACAAAAGGAGTGTTTCAAAACTGCTCTGTGAAAAGGTATGTTCAACTCTGTGGGTTGAATGCAAACAATACAAAGAAGTTTCTGAGAATGCTTCCATCTGGTTTTTATGTGAAGGTATTTCCTTTTCCACCACAGGCCTCAAAGCTTTCCAAATGTCCACTTGCAGATTCTACAAAAAGAGTGTTTAAAAACTGCTCTCTCAAAAGGAAGATTCAACTCTTTGTGTTGAATGTGCAGATCACAAAGAAGTTTCTGAGAATGCTTCTGTCTAGTTTTTATGTGGAGACATTCCCGTTTCCAACGAAGGCCTCTAAGCAGTACAAATATCCACTCTGCAGATTTTGCCAAAAGAGTGTTTCCAAACTGCTCTATCAACAGAAAGGTTCAACTCTGTGAGTTGGATGCACACATCACAAAGAAATTTCCCAGAATTCTTCTGTCTAGTTCTTATGTGAAGATATTCCCGTTTCCGACGAAGGCCTCAAAGCAGTCCAAATATCCACTTGCAGATTCTACGAAACGAGTGTTTCAAAACTGCTCTATGACAAGGTATGTTCAAATCTGTGAGTTGAATGCACACATCACAAAGAACTTTCTGAGAATGCATCTGTCTAGTTTTTATGTAAAGATATTCCTGTTTCCAAAGAAAACCTAAAAGCAGTCCAAATATCCACTTGCAGATTCTACGAAAAGAGTGTTTCAAAACTCCTCTATGAAAAGGTATTTTCAACTTTGTGAGTTGAATGCAAACAGCACAAAAAAGTTTCTCAGAATGCTTCTGTCTGGTTTTTATGTGAAGATATTTTCTTTCTCACCATAGGCCTCAAAGCTCTCCAAATGTCCACTTGCCGATTCTTCAAAAAGAGTGTTTCAAGACTGCTCTATGAAAAGAAAGGTTCAAGTCTGTGAGTTGAATGCCCACATCACAAAGAAGTTTCTGAGAATGCTTTTGTCTAGTTTTTATTTGAAGATATTCACATTTCCAACGAAGGCCTGAAAGCGTTCCAATTATCCATTTGCATATTCCACCGAAAGAGTTTTCCAAAACTGCTCTATGAAAAGGTATGTCCATCTCTGTGAGTTGAATGCAAACATAACAAAGTAGGTAATGAGAATGTTTCTATCTAGTTTTTATGTGAGGCTATTTCCTTTTCCACCGTAGGCCTCAAAGCTCTCCAAATGTCCACTTGCAGATTGTACAAAGTAAGTGCTTCAAAACTGCTCTATCAAAAGAAAGGTTCAAATCTCTGAGTTGAATGCCCACATCAAAAAAGGTGTTTCTGAGAATGCTTCTGTCTACTTTTTATGTGAAGATATTCCCGTTTCCAACGAGGTCCTTAAAGCAGTCCAAATATCCTCTTGCAGATTCTACAAAAAGAGTGTTTCAAAACTGCTCTACGAAAAGTTATTTTCAACTCTGTGAGTTGAATGCAAATATCACAAAGATGTTTTTGAGAATGCTTCTGTCCAGTTTTTATGTGAAGATATTTCCTTTTCCACTGTAGGCCTCAAAGCTCTCTTGGCTTTGCACTTGCAGATTCTACAAAAACAATGTTTCAAACTGCTCCTTCAAAAGAGTGGTTCAGCTCTTTGAGTTGAATGGCCTCATCACAAAGAAGTTTGTGAGAATGCTTCTGTCTAATTTTTATGTTAAGATATTTCTGTTTCCACTGAAGGCCTCAAAGCAGTCCAAATATCCCCTTGCAGATACTACGAAAAGAGTTTTTCAAAACTGCGCTATGAAAAGGTATTTCATCTCTGTGAGTTGAATGCAAACATCACAAAGAAGTTTCTGAAAATGCTTCTGTCTTCTTTTTATGTGAAGGTATATCATTTTCCACCATAGGCCTCAAAGCTTCCCAAATGTCCACTTGCAGATTCTACAAATGTCTGTTTCAAAACTGCTCTATCAAAACAAAAGTTCAACTCTCTGAGTTGAATGCACATATCACAAAGAAGTTTCTGAGAATTCTTCTTTCTAGATTTTATGTGAAGGTATTCCCGTTTCCAACAAAGGCCTCAAATCAGTCCAAATATCCACTTGTGGATTCTACGAAAGGAGTGTATCAAAACTGCTCTATGAAAAGGTATGTTCAACTCTGTGAGTTGAATGCAAACATCACAGAGGAGATTCTGAGAATGCTTCTGTCCAGTTTTTATGTGGAGATATTTCCTTTTCCACCATAGGCCTCAAAGCTCTCCAAATGACCACTTGCAGATGCTACAAAAAGAGTGTTTCAAAAATGTTCTATGAAAATAAAGGTTAACACTGTGAGTTGAATGCAAACATCGCAAAGAAGTTTCTGAAAATGCTTCTGTCTGGTTTCTATGTGAAGGTATATCATTTTCCACCATAGGCCTCAAAGCTTCCCAAATGTCCACTTGCAGATTCTGCAAAAAGTCTGTTTCAAAACTGCTCTATCAAAAGAAAAGTTCAACTCTCTGAGTTGAATGCACACATCACAAAGAAGTTTCTGAGAATTCTTCTTTCTAGTTTTTATATGAAGATACTCCCGTGTCCAACAAAGGCCTCAAATCAGTCCAAATATCCACTGGCAGATTCTACGAAGAGTGTTTCAAAACTGCTCTATGAAAAGGGACGTTCAACTGTGTGAGTTCCATGCAAACATCAGAGCGGAGATTCTGAAAATGCTTCTGTCCTGTTTTTATGTGAAGATATTTCCTTTTCCACCATAGGCCTCAAAGCTCTCCAAATGACCACTTGCAGATGCTACAAAAACAGTGTTTCAAAACTGCCCTATCAAAATAAAGGTTAACACAGTGAGTTGAATGCAATCATCACAAAGTAGTTGCTGAGAATGCTTCTGTCTCGTTTTTATGTGAAGATATTCTCGTTTACAATGAAGGCCTCAAAGCATTCCAAATATACACTTGCAGATTCTACGAAAAGACTGCTTCAAAACTGCTCTATGAAAAGGTGTGTTCAACTCTGTGAGTTGAGTGCAAGCGTCACAAAGAAGTTTCTGAGAATCTTTGTGTCTGGTTTTTATGTGAAGATATTTCCTTTTCCACCGTAGGCCTCCAAGCTCTCCAAATGTCCACTGGCAGATTCTACAAAAAACGGTTTTTCAAAACTGCTCTATCAATAGAAAGCTTCAACTCTGTGAGTTGAATTCACACATCACAAAGAAGTTTCTGAGAATGCTTCCGTCTAGTTTTTATGTGAAGATATTCCTCTTTCCAACGAAGGCCTCAAAGCAGTCCAAATATCCATTTGCAGATCCTACGAAAAGAGTGTTTCAAAATTGCTCTATGAAAAGGTATGTTCAACTCTGTGAGTTGAATGCAAACGTCACAAACAAGTTTCTGAGAATGCTTCTGTCTAGTTTTTATGTGAAGATATTTCCTTCTCCACCACAGGCCTCGAAGCTCTGAAAATTTCCACATGCAGATTCTATAAAAACAGTGCTTCAAAACAGCTCTATCAAAAGAAAGGTTCAGCTCTGTGAGTTGAATGCACACATCACAAAGAAGGCTCTGAGAATGCTTCTCTCTAGTTTTTATGTGAAGATATTCCCGTTTACAAAGAAGGCCTCAAAGCACTCCATATATCCACCTGCAGATTCTAAAAAAACAGTGCTTCAAAACAGCTCTATCAAAAGAAAGGTTCAGCTCTGTGAGTTGAATGCACACATCACAAAGAAGGCTCTGAGAATGCTTCTCTCTAGTTTTTATGTGAAGATATTCCCGTTTACAAAGAAGGCCTCAAACCACTCCGTATATCCACTTGCAGATTCTACAAAAAGAGTGTTTCAAAACTGCTCTGTGAAAAGGTATGTTCAACTCTGTGGGTTGAATGCAAACAATACAAAGAAGTTTCTGAGAATGCTTCCATCTGGTTTTTATGTGAAGGTATTTCCTTTTCCACCACAGGCCTCAAAGCTTTCCAAATGTCCACTTGCAGATTCTACAAAAAGAGTGTTTAAAAACTGCTCTATCAAAAGGAAGACTCAACTCTTTGTGTTGAATGTGCAGATCACAAAGAAGTTTCTGAGAATGCTTCTGTCTAGTTTTTATGTGGAGATATTCCCGTTTCCAACGAAGGCCTCTAAGCAGTACAAATATCCACTTTGCAGATTTTGCGAAAAGAGTGTTTCCAAACTGCTCTATCAACAGAAAGGTTCAACTCTGTGAGTTGAATGCACACATCACAAAGAAATTTCCCAGAATTCTTCTGTCTAGTTCTTATGTGAAGATATTCCCGTTTCCGACGAAGGCCTCAAAGCAGTCCAAATATCCACTTGCAGATTCTACGAAACGAGTGTTTCAAAACTGCTCTATGACAAGGTATGTTCATATCTGTGAGTTGAATGCACACATCACCAACAACTTTCTGAGAATGCATCTGTCTAGTTTTTATGTAAAGATATTCCTGTTTCCAAAGAAAACCTAAAAGCAGTCCAAATATCCACTTGCAGATTGTACGAAAAGAGTGTTTCAAAACTCCTCTATGAAAAGGTATTTTCAACTTTGTGAGTTGAATGCAAACAGCACAAAGAAGTTTCTCAGAATGCTTCTGTCTGGTTTTTATGTGAAGATATTTTCTTTCTCACCATAGGCCTCAAAGCTCTCCAAATGTCCACTTGCTGATTCTTCAAAAAGAGTGTTTCAAGACTGCTCTATGAAAGGAAAGGTTCAAGCCTGTGAGTTGAATGCCCACATCACAAAGAAGTTTCTGAGAATGCTTTTGTCTAGTTTTTATTTGAAGATATTCACATTTCCAACGAAGGCCTGAAAGCGTTCCAATTATCCATTTGCATATTCTACCAAAAGAGTTTTCCAAAACTGCTCTATGAAAAGGTATGTCCATCTCTGTGAGTTGAATGCAAACATAACAAAGTAGGTACTGAGAATGTTTCTGTCTAGTTTTCATGGGAAGGTATTTCCATTTCCACCATATGCTTCAAAAGTCTCCAAATGTCCACTTGCAGATTCTATAAAAACAGTGTTTCAAAACTGCTCTATCAAAAGAAAGGTTCAACTCTCTGAGTTGAATGCCCACATCACAAAGGTGTTTCTGAGAATGCTTCTGTCTAGTTTTTATGTGAAGATATTCCCGTTTCCAACGAGGTCCTTAAAGCAGTCCAAATATCCTCTTGCAGATTCTACAAAAAGAGTGTTTCAAAACTGCTCTACGAAAAGTTATTTTCAAATCTGTGAGTTGAATGCAAATATCACAAAGATGTTTTTGAGAATGCTTCTGTCCAGTTTTTATGTGAAGATATTTCTTTTTCCACTGTAGGCCTCAAAGCTCTCCAAATGTCCACTTGCAGATTCTACAAAAAGAATGTTTCAAACTGCTCCTTCAAAAGAGTGGTTCAGCTCTGTGAGTTGAATGGCCTCATCACAAAGAAGTTTCTGAGAATGCTTCTGTCTAATTTTTATGTTAAGATATTTCTGTTTCCACTGAAGGCCTCAAAGCAGTCCAAATATCCCCTTGCAGATACTACGAAAAGATTTTTTCAAAACTGCGCTATGAAAAGGTATTTCATCTCTGTGAGTTGAATGCAAACATCACAAAGAAGTTTCTGAAAATGCTTCTGTCTTCTTTTTATGTGAAGGTATATCATTTTCCACCATAGGCCTCAAAGCTTCCCAAATGTCCACTTGCAGATTCTACAAAAAGTCTGTTTCAAAACTGCTCTATGAAAAGAAAAGTTCAACTCTCTGAGTTGAATGCACATATCACAAAGAAGTTTCTGAGAATTCTTCTTTCTAGATTTTATGTGAAGGTATTCCCGTTTCCAACAAAGGCCTCAAATCAGTCCAAATAACCACTTGTGGATTCTACGAAAAGAGTGTTTCAAAACTGCTCTATGAAAAGGTATGTTCAACTCTGTGAGTTGAATGCAAACATCACAGAGGAGATTCTGAGAATGCTTCTGTCCAGTTTTTATGTGGAGATATTTCCTTTTCCACAATAGGCCTCAAAGCTCTCCAAATGACCACTTGCAGATGCTACAAAAACAGTGTTTCAAAACTGTTCTATGAAAATAAAGGTTAACACTGTGAGTTGAATGCAAACATCGCAAAGAAGTTTCTGAAAATGCATCTGTCTGGTTTTTATGTGAAGGTATATCATTTTCCACCATAGGCCTCAAAGCTTCCCAAATGTCCACTTGCAGATTCTGCAAAAAGTCTGTTTCAAAACTGCTCTATCAAAAGAAAAGTTCAACTCTCTGAGTTGAATGCACACATCACAAAGAAGTTTCTGAGAATTCTTCTTTCTAGTTTTTATATGAAGATATTCCCGTGTCCAACAAAGGCCTCAAATCAGTCCAAATATCCACTGGCAGATTCTACGAAGAGTGTTTCAAAACTGCTCTATGAAAAGGGACGTTCAACTCTGTGAGTTCAATGCAAACATCACAGCGGAGATTCTGAAAATGCTTCTGTCCTGTTTTTATGTGAAGATATTTCCTTTTCCACCATAGGCCTCAAAGCTCTCCAAATGACCACTTGCAGATGCTACAAAAACAGTGTTTCAAAACTGCCCTATCAAAATAAAGATTAACACAGTGAGTTGAATGCAATCATCACAAAGTAGTTGCTGAGAATTCTTCTGTCTCGTTTTTATGTGAAGATATTCTCGTTTACAATGAAGGCCTCAAAGCATTCCAAATATACACTTGCAGATTCTACGAAAAGAGTGCTTCAAAACTGCTCTATGAAAAGGTGTGTTCAACTCTGTGAGTTGAGTGCAAGCGTCACAAAGAAGTTTCTGAGAATCTTTGTGTCTGGTTTTTATGTGAAGATATTTCCTTTTCCACCGTAGGCCTCAAAGCTCTCCAAATATCCACTGGCAGATTCTACAAAAACGGTTTTTCAAAACTGCTCTATCAATAGGAAGCTTCAACTCTGTGAGTTGAATTCACACATCACAAAGAAGTTTCTGAGAATGCTTCCGTCTAGTTTTTATGTGAAGATATTCCTCTTTCCAACGAAGGCCTCAAAGCAGTCCAAATATCCACTTGCAGATCCTACGAAAAGAGTGTTTCAAAACTGCTCTATGAAAAGGTATGTTCAACTCTGTGAGTTGAATGCAAACGTCACAAACAAGTTTCTGAGAATGCTTCTGTCTAGTTTTTATGTGAAGATATTTCCTTCTCCACCACAGGCCTCGAAGCTCTGAAAATTTCCACATGCGGATTCTAAAAAAACAGTGCTTCCAAACAGCTCTATGAAAAGAAAGGTTCAGCTCTGTGAGTTGAATGCACACATCACAAAGAAGGCTCTGAGAATGCTTCTCTCTAGTTTTTATGTGAAGATATTCCCGTTTACAAAGAAGGCCTCAAAGCACTCAATATATCCACTTGCAGATTCTAAAAAAACAGTGCTTCAAACACCTCTATCAAAAGAAAGGTTCAGCTCTGTGAGTTGAATGCACACATCACAAAGAAGGCTCTGAGAATGCTTCTCTCTAGTTTTTATGTGAAGATATTCCCGTTTACAAAGAAGGCCTCAAAGCACTCCATATATCCACTTGCAGATTCTACAAAAAGAGTGTTTCAAAACTGCTCTGTGAAAAGGTGTGTTCAACTCAGTGGGTTGAATGCAAACAATACAAAGAAGTTTCTGAGAATGCTTCCGTCTGGTTTTTATGTGAAGGTATTTCCTTTTCCACCACAGGCCTCAAAGCTTTCCAAATGTCCACTTGCAGATTCTACAAAAAGAGTGTTTAAAAACTGCTCTATCAAAAGGAAGATTCTACTCTTTGTGTTGAATGTGCAGATCACAAAGAAGTTTCTGAGAATGCTTCTGTCTAGTTTTTATGTGGAGATATTCCCGTTTCCAACGAAGGCCTCTAAGCAGTACAAATATCCACTCTGCAGATTTTGCGAAAAGAGTGTTTCCAAACTGCTCTATCAACAGAAAGGTTCAACTCTGTGAGTTGAATGCACACATCACAAAGAAATTCCCCAGAATTCTTCTGTCTAGTTCTTATGTGAAGATATTCCCGTTTCCGACGAAGGCCTCAAAGAAGTCCAAATACCCAGTTGCAGATTCTACGAAACGAGTGTTTCAAAACTGCTCTATGACAAGGTATGTTCAAATCTGTGATTTGAATGCACACATCACAAAGAACTTTCTGAGAATGCA
>NC_000021.9:11029552-11093087 GCF_000001405.40 Homo sapiens | reverse complement strand
TCTGTCTACTTTACATGTGAGGCTATTTCTTGTTCACCATAGGCCTCAAGCAGCTAAGAAATTTCCCTCTGCAGCTTCTACAAAAGACTGGTTCCAAACTGCTCAACTGAAAGGAAGGTTGAATTCTGTGACATGAATTCACACATCACAAAGAGGTTTTTCAGAAATCTTCTGTCTACTTTTTACGTGAAGACATTTCATATTTCAACAAAGGCCATAAAGGGCTCACAAATATCCCTTTGCAGATTCTAAGAAAAGACATTTTCCAAACTCCTCAATCAAAAGAAAGGTTTCACTCTGTGCGATGAATGGACACATCACAAAGAAGTTTCTCAGAAAGCTACTGTGTCGTTTTTATGTGAAGACGTTTCCTTTTTCACTCTAGGCCTTAAAACTCTCTAAATATACATTCACAGATTCTACAAAAAGACTGATTCCAAACTGCTCAATCAGAAGAAAAGTTCAATTCCGTGTGACAAACTTGCACATCACAAAGCAATTTGTCAGAAAGCTTTTGTCTAGTTTTCATGTGAAGATATTTATTTTTCACCATTGGCCCCAAACGGCTCAGAAATGTCCCTTTGCAGTTTGTAGGAAAAGACTGTTTCCAAACTGCTCAATGAGAAGAAATGGTCAACTATTAGAGATGAATGGACATGTCACAAAGAGTTTTCTCAAAAAGCTTCTGTCTGCATTTTATGTGAAGGTATTTCCTTTGGCACCGTAGGCCTTAAACCACTCACAAACATAACTCCGCTTATACTACCAAGAGACTTTCTCCAAATTGCTAAATCAAAAGAAACGTTCAACTCTGGGAGATGAATACACACATCAAAAAGAAGTTTCTCAAAATGCTTCTGTCTAGTTTTTATGTGAAGATATTTCCTTCTTCACCGTAGGCCGCAAATTGCTCCAAATATCCATTTGCGGATTCTACAGAAAGAATGTTTCCAAACTGGTCAATCAAAAGAAAGGCTCAACTCTGTGAGACGAAAGCACACATCACAAAGAAGTTTCTCAGAAAGCTTCTGTCTGGTTATTATGTGAAGATATTTCCTTTTTCACCATAGTCTTTAAACCACTCAAAAATATCCCTCTGCAGGTACTACAAAAAGACTGTTTCCAAACTGGTCCATATAGAATGTTTCAACTATGTGAGTTGAATGCACTCATCACAAAGAAGTTTCTCAGAATTCTCCTGTCTAGTTTTTATGACAAGATAATTCCTATTTTGCCATAGGAATCAAGGGGCTCACAAATATCCCTTTGCAGATTCTACAAAAGTTCTGTTTACAAACCTCTCAATCAAAAGAAACGTTCAACATTGTGAGATGAATGAACACATCACAAAGAAGTTTCTCAGAATGCTTCTGTCTAGATTTTATGTGAAGATATTTCCATTTTCACCTTAGGCCACAAAGCGCTCCAAACATCCCTTTGCAGATGATACGAAAAGACTGTTTCCAAACTGCTCAATCAAAAGAAATTTTCAACTCTGTGAGATGAAAGCACCCATCACAAAAAAGTTTCTCAGAAATCTTCTCTCTAGTTTTTATGTGTAGATATTTCCTTTTTCAGCGTAGTCCTTACACCGCTCACAAATATCCTTCTGCAGATACTAGAAAAAGACTGTTTCCAAACTGCTCCATCAAAAGAAAATTTCACCTACCTGAGATGAATGCACACATCACAAAGAAGTTTCTCAGAATTCTTCTGTCTAGTTTAAATGTGAAGATAATCCTTTTTCACCACAGACCTCAAATGGCTCAGAAATATACCTTTGCAGATTGCAGAAAGAGACTGTCTCTAAACTGCTCAAATAAAATAAAGTTTCAACACTGTGAGATGAATGCACACATCACAAAGAAGTTTCTCAGAAAGCTCCTGTCTAGTTTCTATGTGAAGATATTTACTATTTCACTATAGGCTTCAAAGGTCTCAAAAATATCCCTTTGCAGATTCTACAAAAATATGGTTTCCACAGTGCTGAATTAAAAGAAACCTTCAACTCTGTCAGATGAATGGAGACATCACAAAGAAGTTCCTCGGAATGCTTCGGTCTACTTTTCATGTGAAGATATTTCCAGTTTCACCGTAGGCCTCAAAGGGCTAAGAAATATCCCTTTCCAGATTCTAAAAGACGACCGTTTCCATACTTCTGAATCCAAAGAAAGGTTAAATTCTCTGAGGTTAATGCCCACGTCAGAATGAAGTTTCTCAGAATTCTTCTGTTTAGTTTTTATGTAAAGATATTTCCTTTGCCACCATTGGCCTCATATCAGTCTTAATAACTATTTACAGATTTCACAAAAAGAGTGTTTCCAAACAGCTCAATCAAAAGAAAGTGTTTAACTCTGTGAGGTGAAAGCACACATCTCAATGAAGTTTCTCAGAAAGCTTCTGTCTAGTTTATATGTGAAGAAGATTCCTATTTCACCATAGGCAATAAAGGGCTCGCAAATATGTTTTGCAGATTCTACAAAAAGACTGTATCCAAACTGCTCAATAAAAAGAAAGTTTTAACTCTGTTAGATTAACGGACACATCGAAAAGGAGTTTCTCAGAAAACTTCTGTCTAGTTTTTATGTGAAGATACTTCACAGTGCATCATAGTACTCAATGGGCTCAGAAGTATCCCTTGGCAGATTCTACAAAAGGACTGTTTCAAAACTGCTCAATCCAAAGAAAGTTTCAACTATGTGAGATGAATGCACACATCACAAAGAAGTTCCTCAGAATGTTTCTGTTTAGTTTTTACGCGAAGATGTTTCGTTTTTCCACATGGGCCTCAAAATCTCTCCAAATATCCATTTGCAGATTATAGAAAAAGAGTGTTTCCAAACTCCTCAATCAAAAGAAAGTTTCAATTCTGTGAGATGAAAGCACACATCACACCGAAGTTTCTTAGAAAGCTTCTGTCTAGTTTTTATGTGAAGATATTTCTCTTTCACCATAGGCCTCAAATGGATCAGAATTATCCCTTTGCGGATTGTACAATAAGCCTCTTTCCAACCTGCTCAATCAAAAGAAAGGTTCAACTCTGTGAGGTGAATGCACACATCACAAGGAAGTTTCTCAGAAAGCTCCTGTCTAGTTTTTGTGTGAAGATACTTCGTATTTCACCACAGGCCATAAGGGGCTCACAAATATCCCTTTGCAGGTTCTACAAAAAGACAGTTTCCAAACTGCTCAATCAAAAGAAAGGTTCAACTCTGTGACGTGAATGGACACATCACAAAAAATTTCTCGGAATGATTCTGTCTAGTTTTTATGTGAAGATACTTCCTTTTTCACCAAGGACCTCAAATATCTCCAAATATCCATTTGCAGATTCTACAGAAAGACTTCCCAAACTGCTCAATCAAAAGAAAGGTTCAACACAGTGAGATGAAGGCACACATCACAAAGAAGTTTCTCAGAAATCTTCTGTCTAGTTTTTATGTGAAGATATTTCTTTTTCACCATAGGCCTCAAAGGTCTAAGAAATTTCCCTTTGCAGCTTCTACAAAAGACTGTCTCCAACTGCTGAATCAAAAGAAAGGTTGAATTCTGTGACATGAATTCACACATCACAAAGAAGTTTCTCAGAAATCTTCTGTCTACTTTTTATGTGAAGATATTTCATATTTCAACAAAGGCCATAAAGGGCTCACAAATATCCCTTTGCAGATTCTAAGAAAAGACATTTTACAAACTCCTCAATCAAAAGAAAGGTTCCACTCTGTGCGATGAATGGACACATCACAAAGAAGTTTCTCAGAAAGCTACTGTGTCGTTTTTATGTGAAGACATTGCCTCTTGCACCCTAGGCCTTAAAACTCTCTAAATACACATTCACAGATTCTACAAAAAGACTGATTCCAAACTGCTCAATCAGAAGAAGGGTTCAATTCCGTGTGACAAACGTGCACATCACTAAGAAATTTGTCAGAAAGCTTCTGTCTAGTTTTCATGGGAAGATATTTATTTTTCACCGTTGGCCCCAAACCGCTCAGAAATATCCCTTTGCAGTTTGTAGAAAAAGACTGCTTCCAAACTGCTCAATGAAAGGAAATGGCCAACTATTAGAGATGAATGGAAATGTCACAAAGAGTTTTCTCAAACAGCTTCTGTCTGCATTTTATGTCAAGGTATTTCCTTTGGCACCATAGGCCTTAAACCGCTCGCAAATATAACTCCACTTATACTACCAAGAGACTTTCTCCAAATTGCTAAATGAAAAGAAAGGTTCAACTCTGTGAGATGAATACACACATCAAAAAGAAGTTTCTCAAAATGCTCCTGTCTAGTTTTTATGTGAAGATATTTCCTTTTTCACCATAGGCCACAAATTGCTCCAAATATCCATTTGCAGATTCTACAAAAAGAATGTTCCCAAACTGGTCAATCAACAGAAAGGCGCAACTCTGTGAGACGAAAGCACACATCACAAAGAAGTTTCTCGGAAAGCCTCTGTCTGGTTACTCTGTGAAGATATTTCTTTTTTCACCACAGTCTTTAAGCCACTCAAAAATATCTGTCTGCAGACACTACAAAAAGACTGTTTCCAAACTGGCCCATATAGCATTTTTCAACTATGTGAAATGAATGCACTCATCAAAGAGAAGTTTCTCAGAATTCTTCTGTCTAGTTTTTATCTCAAGATAATTCCTATTTTGCCATAGGAATCAAGGGGCTCACAAATATCCCTTTGCAGATTCTACAAAAGTTCTGTTTACAAACCTCTCAATCAAAAGAAACGTTCAACATTGTGAGATGAATGAACACATCACAAAGAAAGTTTCTCAGAATGCTTCTGTCTAGATTTTATGTGAAGATATTTCCATTTTCACCTTAGGCCACAAAGCGCTCCAAACATCCCTTTGCAGATGATACGAAAAGACTGTTTCCAAACTGCTCAATCAAAAGAAACTTTCAACTCTGTGAGATGAAAGCACCCATCACAAAAAAGTTTCTCAGAAATCTTCTGTCTAGTTTTTATGTGAAGATATTTGCTTTTTCAGCATAGTCCTTACACCGCTCACAAATATCCTTCTGCAGATACTAGAAAAAGACTGTTTCCAAACTGCTCCATCAAAAGAAAATTTCACCTACCTGAGATGAATGCACACGTCATAAAGAAGTTTCTCAGAATTCTTCTGTCTAGTTTAAATGTGAAGATATTTCTCTTTCACCACAGACCTCAAATGGCTCAGAAATATGCCTTTGCAGATTGCAGAAAAAGACTGTCTCTAAGCTGCTCAAATAAAATAAAGTTTCAACACTGTGAGATGAATGCACACATCACAAAGAAGTTTCTCAGAAAGCTCCTGTCTAGTTTCTATGTGAAGATATTTACTATTTCACTGTAGGCTTCAAAGGTCTCAAAAATATCCCTTTGCAGATTCTGCAAAAATACGGTTTCCACAGTGCTGAATTAAAAGAAACCTTCAACTCTGTCAGATGAATGGAGACATCACAAAGAAGTTCCTCGGAATGCTTCGGTCTACTTTTCATGTGAAGATATTTCCAGTTTCACCGTAGGCCTCAAAGGGCTAAGAAATATCCCTTTCCCGATTCTAAAAGACGACCGTTTCCATACTTCTCAATCCAAAGAAAGGTTAAATTCTCTGAGGTTAATGCCCACGTCAGAATGAAGTTTCTCAGAATTCTTCTGTTTAGTTTTTATGTGAAGATATTTCCTTTGTCACCATTGGCCTCAAAGCACTCCTAATATCCATTTACAGATTTCACAAAAAGAGTGTTTCCAAACAGCTCAATCAAAAGAAAGTGTTTAACTCTGTGAGGTGAAAGCACACATCTCCAAGAAGTTTCTCAGAAAGCTTCTGTCTAGTTTATATGTGAAGAAGATTCCTATTTCACCATAGGCAATAAAGGGCTCACAAATATTTTTTGCAGATTCTACAAAAAGACTGTGTCCAAACTGCTCAATAAAAAGAAAGTTTTAACTCTGTTAGATTAACGGACACATCGAAAAGTAGTTTCTCAGAAAACTTCTGTCTAGTTTTTATGTGAAGATACTTCACATTGCAGCATAGTACTCAATCGGCTCAGAAATATCCCTTGGCAGATTCTACAAAAGGACTGTTTCAAAACTGCTCAATCCAAAGAAAGTTTCAACTATGTGAGATGAATGCACCCATCACAAAGAAGTTCCTCAGAATGCTTCTGTTTAGTTTTTACGTGAAGATGTTTCGTTTTTCAACATGGGCCTCAGAATCTCTCCAAATATCCATTTGCAGATTCTAGAAAAAGAGTGTTTCCAAACTCCTCAATGAAAAGAAAGTTTCAATTCCCTGAGATGAAAACACACATCACACCGAAGTTTCTTAGAAAGCTTCCGTCTAGTTTTTATGGGAAGATGTTTCTCTTTCACCAGAAGCCTCAAACGGATCAGAATTCTCCCTTTGCAGATTGTACAATAAGCCTCTTTCCAATCTGCTCAATCAAAAGACAGTTTCAAGTCTGTGAGGTGAATGCACACATCACAAGGGAGTTTCTGAGAAAGCTCCTGTCTAGTTTTTATGTGAAGATATTTCGTATTTCACCACAGGCCATAAGGGGCTCACAAATATCCCTTTGCAGGTTCTACAAAAAGACTGTTTTCAAACTGCTCAATCAAAATAAAGGTTCAACTCTGTGACGTGAATGGACACATCACAAAAAATTTCTCGGAATGATTCTGTCTAGTTTTTATGTGAAGATACTTCCTTTTTCACCAAGGGCCTCAAATATCTCCAAATATCCATTTGCAGATTCTACAGAAAGACTTCCCAAACTGCTCAATCAAAAGAAAGGTTCAACACAGTGAGATGAAGGCACACATCACAAAGAACTTTCTCAGAAATCTTCTGTCTACTTTTTATGTGAGGCTATTTCTTGTTCACCATAGGCCTCAAGCAGCTAAGAAATTTCCCTCTGCAGCTTCCACAAAAGACTGGTTCCAAACTGCTCAACTGAAAGGAAGGTTGAATTCTGTGACATGAATTCACACATCACAAAGAGGTTTTTCAGAAATCTTCTGTCTACTTTTTATGTGAAGATATTTCATATTTCAACAAAGGCCATAAAGGGCTCACAAATATCCCTTTGCAGATTCTAAGGAAAGACATTTTCCAAACTCCTCAATCAAAAGAAAGGTTTCACTCTGTGCGATGAATGGACACATCACAAAGAAGTTTCTCAGAAAGCTACTGTGTCGTTTTTATGTGAAGACGTTTCCTTTTTCACTCTAGGCCTTAAAACTCCCTAAATATACATTCACAGATTCTACAAAAAGACTGATTCCAAACTGCTCAATCAGAAGAAAAGTTCAATTCCGTGTGACAAACTTGCACATCACAAAGCAATTTGTCAGAAAGCTTCTGTCTAGTTTTCATGTGAAGATATTTATTTTTCACCATTGGCCTCAAACTGCTCAGAAATATCCCTTTGCATTTTGTACAAAAAGACTGTTTCCAAACTGCTCAATGAAAAGAAATGGTCAACTCTTAGAGATGAATGGAAATGTCACAAAGAGTTTTCTCAAAAAGCTTCTGTCTGCATTTTATGTGAAGGTATTTCCTTTGGCACCTTAGGCCTTAAACCACTCACAAACATAACTCCGCTTATACTACCAAGAGACTTTCTCCAAATTGCTAAATCAAAAGAAACGTTCAACTCTGTGAGATGAATACACACATCAAAAAGAAGTTTCTCAAAATGCTTCTGTCTAGTTTTTATGTGAAGATATTTCCTTCTTCACCGTAGGCCGCAAATTGTTCCAAATATCCATTTGCGGATTCTACAAAAAGAATGTTTCCAAACTGGTCAATCAACAGAAAGGCTCAACTCTGTGAGACGAAAGCACACATCACAAAGAAGTTTCTCAGAAAGCTTCTGTCTGGTTACTCTGTGAAGATATTTCTTTTTTCACCACAGTCTTTAAGCCACTCAAAAATATCTGTCTGCAGACACTACAAAAAGACGGTTTCCAAACTGGCCCATATAGCATGTTTCAACTATGTGAAATGAATGCACTCATCAAAGAGAAGTTTCTCAGAATTCTTCTGTCTAGTTTTTATCTCAAGATAATTCCTATTTTGCCATAGGAATCAAGGGGCTCACAAATATCCCTTTGCAGATTCTACAAAAGTTCTGTTTACAAACCTCTCAATCAAAAGAAACGTTCAACATTGTGAGATGAATGAACACATCATAAAGAAGCTTCTCAGAATGCTTCTGTCTAGATTTTATGTGAAGATATTTCCATTTTCACCTTAGGCCACAAAGCGCTCCAAACATGCCTTTGCAGATGATACGAAAAGACTGTTTCCAAACTGCTCAATCAAAAGAAATTTTCAACTCTGTGAGATGAAAGCACCCATCACAAAAAAGTTTCTCAGAAATCTTCTGTCTAGTTTTTATGTGAAGATATTTCCTTTTTCACCATAGTCCTTACACCGCTCACAAATATCCTTCTGCAGATACTAGAAAAAGACTGTTTCCAAACTGCTCCATCAAAAGAAAATTTCACCTACCTGAGATGAATGCACACATCATAAAGAAGTTTCTCAGAATTCTTCTGTCCAGTTTAAATGTGAAGATATTTCTCTTTCACCACAGACCTCAAATGGCTCAGAAATATGCCTTTGCAGATTGCAGAAAAAGACTGTCTCTAAACTGCTCAAATAAAATAAAGTTTCAACACTGTGAGATGAATGCACACATCACAAAGAAGTTTCTCAGAAAGCTCCTGTCTAGTTTCTATGTGAAGATATTTACTATTTCACTATAGGCTTCAAAGGTCTCAAAAATATCCCTTTACAGATTCTACAAAAATACGGTTTCCACAGTGCTGAATTAAAAGAAACCTTCAACTCTGTCAGATGAATGGAGACATCACAAAGAAGTTCCTCGGAATGCTTCGGTCTACTTTTCATGTGAAGATATTTCCAGTTTCACCGTAGGCCTCAAAGGGCTAAGAAATATCCCTTTCCAGATTCTAAAAGACGACCGTTTCCATACTTCTCAATCAAAAGAAAGGTTAAATTCTCTGAGGTTAATGCCCACGTCAGAATGAAGTTTCTCAGAATTCTTCTGTTTAGTTTTTATGTGAAGATATTTCCTTTGTCACCATTGGCCTCAAAGCACTCCTAATATCCATTTACAGATTTCACAAAAAGAGTGTTTCCAAACAGCTCAATCAAAAGAAAGTGTTTAACTCTGTGAGGTGAAAGCACACATCTCCAAGGAGTTTCTCAGAAAGCTTCTGTCTAGTTTATATGTGAAGAAGATTCCTATTTCACCATAGGCAATAAAGGGCTCACAAATATTTTTTGCAGTTTCTACAAAAAGACTGTGTCCAAACTGCTCAATAAAAAGAAAGTTTTAACTCTGTTAGATTAACGGACACATCGAAAAGTAGTTTCTCGGAAAACTTCTGTCTAGTTTTTATGTGAAGATACTTCACAGTGCATCATAGTACTCAATGGGCTCAGAAATATCCCTTGGCAGATTCTACAAAAGGACTGTTTCAAAACTGCTCAATCCAAAGAAAGTTTCAACTATGTGAGATGAATGCACACATCACAAAGAAGTTCCTCAGAATGCTTCTGTTTAGTTTTTACGTGAAGATGTTTCGTTTTTCAACATGGGCCTCAGGATCTCTCCAAATATCCATTTGCAGATTCTAGAAAAAGAGTGTTTCCAAACTCCTCAATCAAAAGAAAGTTTCAATTCCGTGAGATGAAAGCACACATCACAACGAAGTTTCTTAGAAAGCTTCCGTCTAGTTTTTATGGGAAGATGTTTCTCTTTCACCATAAGCCTCAAACGGATCAGAATTCTCCCTTTGCAGATTGTACAATAAGCCTCTTTCCAATCTGCTCAATCAAAAGAAAGTTTCAACTCTGTGAGGTGAATGCACACATCACAAGGGAGTTTCTCAGAAAGCTCCTGTCTAGTTTTTGTGTGAAGATATTTCGTATTTCACCACAGGCCATAAGGGGCTCACAAATATCCCTTTGCAGGTTCTACACAAAGACTGTTTCCAAACTGCTCAATCAAAAGAAAGGTTCAACTCTGTGACGTGAATGGACACATCACAAAAAATTTCTCGGAATGATTCTGTCTAGTTTTATGTGAAGATACTTCCTTTTTCACCAAGGGCCTCAAATATCTCCAAATATCCATTTGCAGATTCTACAGAAAGACTTCCCAAACTGCTCAAACAAAAGAAAGGTTCAACACAGTGAGATGAAGGCACACATCACAAAAAAGTTTCTCAGAAATCTTCTGTCTACTTTTTATGTGAGGCTATTTCTTGTTCACCATAGGCCTCAAGCAGCTAAGAAATTTCCCTCTGCAGCTTCTACAAAAGACTGGTTCCAAACTGCTCAACTGAAAGGAAGGTTGAATTCTGTGACATGAATTCACACATCACAAAGAGGTTTTTCAGAAATCTTCTGTCTACTTTTTACGTGAAGATATTTCATATTTCAACAAAGGCCATAAAAGGATCACAAATATCCCTTTGCAGATTCTAAGAAAAGACATTTTCCAAACTCCTCAATCAAAAGAAAGGTTTCACTCTGTGCGATGAATGGACACATCACAAAGAAGTTTCTCAGAAAGCTACTGTGTCGTTTTTATGTGAAGACGTTTCCTTTTTCACTCTAGGCCTTAAAACTCTCTAAATATACATTCACAGATTCTACAAAAAGACGGATTCCAAACTGCTCAATCAGAAGAAAGTTTCAATTCCGTGTGACAAACGTGCACATCACAAAGAAATTTGTCAGAAAGCTTCTGTCTAGTTTTCATGTGAAGATATTTATTTTTCACCATTGGCCCCAAACGGCTCAGAAATATCCCTTTGCAGTTTGTAGGAAAAGACTGTTTCCAAACTGCTCAATGAAAAGAAATGGTCAACTATTAGAGATGAATGGAAATGTCACAAAGAGTTTTCTCATAAAGCTTCTGTCTACATTTTATGTGAAGGTATTTCCTTTGGCACCGTAGGCCTTAAACCACTCACAAACATAACTCCGCTTATACTACCAAGAGACTTTCTCCAAATCGCTAAATCAAAAGAAACGTTCAACTCTGTGAGATGAATACACACATCAAAAAGAAGTTTCTCAAAATGCTTTCTGTCTAGTTTTTATGTGAAGATATTTCCTTTTTCACCATAGTTCTCAAATTGCTCCAAATATCCATTTGCAGATTCTACAAAAAGAGTGTTTCCAAACTGGTCAATCAAAAGAAAGGCTCAACTCTGTGAGACGAAAACACACATCACAAAGTTTCTCAGAAAGCTTCTGTCTGGTTACTCTGTGAAGATATTTCTTTTTTCACCACAGTCTTTAAGCCACTCAAAAATATCTGTCTGCAGACACTACAAAAAGACTGTTTCCAAACTGGCCCATATAGCATGTTTCAACTATGTGAAATGAATGCACTCATCAAAGAGAAGTTTCTCAGAATTCTTCTGTCTAGTTTTTATCTCAAGAGAATTCCTATTTTGCCATAGGAATCAAGGGGCTCACAAATATCCCTTTGCAGATTCTACAAAAGTTGTGTTTACAAACCTCTCAATCAAAAGAAACGTTCAACATTGTGAGATGAATGAACACATCACAAAGAAGTTTCTCAGAATGCTTCTGTCTAGATTTTATGTGAGGATATTTCCATTTTCACCTTAGGCCACAAAGCGCTCCAAACATCCCTTTGCAGATGATACGAAAAGACTGTTTCCAAACTGCTCAATCAAAAGAAATTTTCAACTCTGTGAGATGAAAGCACCCATCACAAAAAAGTTTCTCAGATATCTTCTGTCTAGTTTTTATGTGAAGATATTTCCTTTTTCAGCGTAGTCCTTACACCGCTCACAAATATCCTTCTGCAGATACTAGAAAAAGACTGTTTCCAAACTGCTCCATCAAAAGAAAATTTCACCTACCTGAGATGAATGCACCCATCATAAAGAAGTTTGCTCAGAATTCTTCTGTCTAGTTTAAATGTGAAGATATTTCTCTTTCACCACAGACCTCAAATGGCTCAGAAATATGCCTTTGCAGATTGCAGAAAAAGACTGTCTCTAAACTGCTCAAATAAAATAAAGTTTCAACACTGTGAGATGAATGCACACATCACAAAGAAGTTTCTCAGAAAGCTCCTGTCTAGTTTCTATGTGAAGATATTTACTATTTCACTGTAGGCTTCAAAGGTCTCAAAAATATCCCTTTGCAGATTCTACAAAAATACGGTTTCCACAGTGCTGAATTAAAAGAAACCTTCAACTCTGTCAGATGAATGGAGACATCACAAAGAAGTTCCTCGGAATGCTTTGGTCTAGTTTTCATGTGAAGATATTTCCAGTTTCACCATAGGCCTCAAAGGGCTAAGAAATATCCCTTTCCAAATTCTAAAAGACGAACATTTCCATACTGCTCAATCAAAAGAAAGGTTAAATTCTGTGAGGTGAATGCACACATCAGAATGAAGTTTCTCAGAATTCTTCTGTTTAGTTTTTATGTAAAGATATTTCCTTTGCCACCATTGGCCTCATATCACTCCTAATAACTATTTACAGATTTCACAAAAAGAGTGTTTCCAAACAGCTCAATCAAAAGAAAGTGTTTAACTCTGTGAGGTGAAAGCACACATCTCAATGAAGTTTCTCAGAAAGCTTCTGTCTAGTTTATATGTGAAGAAGATTCCTATTTCACCATAGGCAATAAAGGGCTCACAAATATTTTTTGCAGATTCTACAAAAAGACTGTATCCTAACTGCTCAATAAAAAGAAAGTTTTAACTCTGTTAGATTAATGGACACATCGAAAAGTAGTTTCTCAGAAAACTTTTGTCTAGTTTTTATGTGAAGATATTTCACATTGCACCATAGTACTCAATGGGTTCAGAAATATCCCTTTGCAGATTTTACAAAATGACTGTTTCCAAACTGCTCAATCCAAAAAAAGTTTCAACTATGTGAGATGAATGCACACATCACAAAGAAGTTCCTCAGAATGCTTCTGTTTAGTTTTTACGTGAAGATGTTTCGTTTTTCAACATGGGCCTCAAAAGCTCTCCAAATATCCACTTGCAGATTCTAGAAAAAGAGTGTTTCCAAACTCCTCAATCAAAAGAAAGTTTCAATTCTGTGAGATGAAAGCACACATCACACCGAAGTTTCTTAGAAAGATTCCTTGTAGTTTTTATGGGAAGATGTTTCTCTTTCACCAGAAGCCTCAAACGGATCAGAATTCTCCCTTTGCAGATTGTACAGTAAGCCTCTTTCCAATCTGCTCAATCAAAAGAAAGTTTCAACTCTGGGAGGTGAATGCACACATCACAAGGGAGTTTCTCAGAAAGCTCCTGTCTAGTTTTTGTGTGAAGATATTTCGTATTTCACCACAGGCCATAAGGGACTCACAAATATCCCTTTGCAGGTTCTACACAAAGACTGTTTCCAAACTGCTCAATCAAAAGAAAGGTTCAACTCTGTGACGTGAATGGACACATCACAAAAAATTTCTCGGAATGATTCTGTCTAGATTTTATGTGAAGATACTTCCTTTTTCACCACGGGCCTCAAATATCTCCAAATATCCATTTGCAGATTCTACAGAAAGACTTCCCAAACTGCTCAATCAAAAGAAAGGTTCAACACAGTGAGATGAAGGCACACATCACAAAGAAGTTTCTCAGAAATCTTCTGTCTAGTTTTTATGTGAGGCTATTTCTTGTTCACCATAGGCCTCAAGCAGCTAAGAAATTTCCCTCTGCAGCTTCTACAAAAGACTGTTTCCAAACTGCTCAACTGAAAGAAAGGTTGAATTCTGTGACATGAATTCACACATCACAAAGAGGTTTTTCAGAAATCTTCTGTCTACTTTTTATGTGAAGATATTTCATATTTCAACAAAGGCCATAAAGGACTCACAAATATCCCTTCGCAGATTCTAAGAAAAGACGTTTTCCAAACTCCTCAACCAAAAGAAAGGTTTAACTCTGTGAGATGAATGGACACATCACGAAGAAGTTTCTCAGAAAGCTACTGTGTCGTTTTTATGTGAAGACGTTTCCTTTTTCACTCTAGGCCTTAAAACTCTCTAAATATACATTCACAGATTCTACAAAAAGACTGATTCCAAACTGCTCAATCAGAAGAAAGGTTCAGTTCCGTGTGACAAACGTGCACATCAGAAAGAAATTTGTCAGAAACCTTCTGTCTAGTTTTCATGTGAAGATATTTATTTTTCACCATTGGCCCCAAACGGCTCAGAAATGTCCCTTTGCAGTTTGTAGGAAAAGACTGTTTCCAAACTGCTCAATGAGAAGAAATGGTCAACTATTAGAGATGAATGGACATGTCACAAAGAGTTTTCTCAAAAAGCTTCTGTCTACATTTTTTGTGAAGGTATTTCCTTTGGCACCGTAGGCCTTAAACCACTCACAAACATAACTCCGCTTATACTACCAAGAGACTTTCTCCAAATTGCTAAATCAAAAGAAACGTTCAACTCTGTGAGATGAATACACACATCAAAAAGAAGTTTCTCAAAATGGTTCTGTCTAGTTTTTATGTGAAGATATTTCCTTCTTCACCGTAGGCCGCAAATTGTTCCAAATATCCATTTGCGGATTCTACAAAAAGAATGTTTCCAAACTGGTCAATCAACAGAAAGGCTCAACTCTGTGAGACGATAGCACACATCACAAAGAAGTTTCTCAGAAAGCTTCTGTCTGGTTACTCTGTGAAGATATTTCTTTTTTCACCACAGTCTTTAAGCCACTCAAAAATATCTGTCTGCAGACACTACAAAAAGACAGTTTCCAAACTGGCCCATATAGCATGTTTCAACTATGTGAAATGAATGCACTCATCAAAGAGAAGTTTCTCCGAATTCTTCTGTCTAGTTTTTATCTCAAGATAATTCCTATTTTGCCATAGGAATCAAGGGGCTCACAAATATCCCTTTGCAGATTCTACAAAAGTTCTGTTTACAAACCTCTCAATCAAAAGAAACGTTCAACATTGTGAGATGAATGAACACATCACAAAGAAGTTTCTCAGAATGCTTCTGTCTAGATTTTCTGTGAAGACATTTCCATTTTCACCTTAGGCCACAAAGCGCTCCAAACATCCCTTTGCAGATGATACGAAAAGACTGTTTCCAAACTGCTCAATCAAAAGAAATTTTCAACTCTGTGAGATGAAAGCACCCATCACAAAAAAGTTTCTCAGAAATCTTCTGTCTAGTTTTTATGTGAAGATATTTCCTTTTTCAGCGTAGTCCTTACACCGCTCACAAATATCCTTCTGCAGATACTAGAAAAAGACTGTTTCCAAACTGCTCCATCAAAAGAAAATTTCACCTACCTGAGATGAATGCACCCATCATAAAGAAGTTTCTCAGAATTCTTCTGTCTAGTTTAAATGTGAAGATATTTCTCTTTCACCACAGACTTCAAATGGCTCAGAAATATGCCTTTGCAGATTGCAGAAAAAGACTGTCTCTAAACTGCTCAAATAAAATAAAGTTTCAACACTGTGAGATGAATGCACACATCACAAAGAAGTTTCTCAGAAAGCTCCTGTCTAGTTACTATGTGAAGATATTTACTATTTCACTGTAGGCTTCAAAGGTCTCAAAAATATCCCTTTGCAGATTCTGCAAAAATACGGTTTCCACAGTGCTGAATTAAAAGAAACCTTCAACTCTGTCAGATGAATGGAGACATCACAAAGAAGTTCCTCGGAACGCTTCGGTCTACTTTTCATGTGAAGATATTTCCAGTTTCACCGTAGGCCTCAAAGGGCTAAGAAATATCCCATTCCAGATTTTAAAAGACGGCCGTTTCCATACTTCTCAATCAAAAGAAAGGTTAAATTCTCTGAGGTTAATGCCCACGTCAGAATGAAGTTTCTCAGAATTCTTCTGTGTAGTTTTTATGTGAAGATATTTCCTTTGTCACCATTGGTCTCAAAGCACTCCTAATATCCATTTACAGATTTCACAAAAAGAGTGTTTCCAAACAGCTCAATCAAAAGAAAGTGTTTAACTCTGTGAGGTGAAAGCACACATCTCAAAGAAGTTTCTCCGAAAGCTTCTGTCTAGTTTATATGTGAAGAAGATTCCTATTTCACCATAGGCAATAAAGGGCTCACAAATATTTTTTGCAGATTCTACAAAAAGACTGTATCCAAACTGCTCAATAAAAAGAAAGTTTCAACTCTGTTAGATTAATGGACACATCGAAAAGTAGTTTCTCAGAAAACTTCTGTCTAGTTTTTATGTGAAGATATTTCACATTTCACCATAGTACTCAATGGGCTCAGAAATATCCCTTTGCAGATTCTACAAAAGGACTGTTTCCAAACTGCTCAATCCAAAGAAAGTTTCAACTCTGTGAGATGAATGCACACATCACAAAGAAGTTTCTCAGAATGCTTCTGTTTAGTTTTTACGTGAAGATGTTTCGTTTTTCAACATGGGCCTCAAAAGCTCTCCAAATATCCACTTGCAGATTCTAGAAAAAGAGTGTTTCCAAACTCCTCAATCAAAAGAAAGTTTCAATTCTGTGAGATGAAAGCCCACATCACACCGAAGTTTCTTAGAAAGCTTCCGTCTAGTTTTTATGGGAAGATGTTTCTCTTTCACCAGAAGCCTCAAACGGATCGGAATTCTCCCTTTGCAGATTGTACAATAAGCCTCTTTCCAATCTGCTCAATCAAAAGAAAGTTTCAACTCTGTGAGGTGAATGCACACATCACAAGTTAGTTTCTCAGAAAGCTCCTGTCTAGTTTTTATTTGAAGATATTTCGTATTTCACCAAAGACCACAAGGGGCTCACAAATATCCCTTTGCAGGTTCCACAAAAAGACTGTTTCCAAACTGCTCAATCAAAAGAAAGGTTCAACTCTGTGACGTGAATGGACTCATCGCAGAAAATTTCTTGGAATGATTCTGTCTAGTTTTTATGTGAAGATACTTTCTTTTTCACCATGGGCCTGAAATAGCTCCAAATATCCATTTGCAGATTCTACAAAAAAGACTTTCCAAACTGCTCAATCAAAGAAAGGTTCAACACTGTGAGATGAAAGCACACATCACAAAGAAGTTTCTCAGAAATCTTCTGTCTACTTTTTATGTGAGGCTATTTCTGGTTCACCATAGGCCTCAAGCAGCTAAGAAATTTCCCTCTGCAGCTTCTACAAAAGACTGGTTCCAAACTGCTCAACTGAAAGGAAGGTTGAATTCTGTGACATGAATTCACACATCACAAAGAGATTTCTCAGAAATCTTCTGTCTACTTTTTATGTGAAGATATTTCATATTTCAACAAAGGCCATAAAGGGCTCACAAATATGCCTTTGCAGATTCTAAGAAAAGACATTTTCCAAACTCCTCAATCAAAAGACAGGTTTCACTCTGTGCGATGAATGGACACATCACAAAGAAGTTTCTCAGAAAGCTACTGCGTCGTTTTTATGTGAAGACGTTTCCTTTTTCACTCTAGGCCTTAAAACTCTCTAAATATACATTCACAGATTCTACAAAAAGACTGATTCCAAACTGCTCAATCAGAAGAAAGGTTCAGTTCCGTGTGACAAACGTGCACATCACAAAGAAATTTGTCAGAAAGCTTCTGCCTAGTTTTCATGTGAAGATATTTATTTTTCACCATTGGCCCCAAACGGCTCAGAAATATCCCTTTGCAGTTTGTAGGAAAAGACTGTTTCCAAACTGCTCAATGAGAAGAAATGGTCAACTATTAGAGATGAATGGAAATGTCACAAGGAGTTTTCTCAAAATTCTTCTGTCTACATTTTATGTGAAGGTATTTCCTTTGGCACCGTAGGCCTTAAACCACTCACAAACATAACTCTGCTTATACTACCAAGAGACTTTCTCCAAATTGCTAAATCAAAAGAAACGTTCAACTCTGTGAGATGAATACACACATCAAAAAGAAGTTTCTCAAAATGCTTCTGTCTAGTTTTTATGTGAAGATATTTCCTTCTTCACCGTAGGCCGCAAATTGCTCCAAATATCCATTTGCGGATTCTACAGAAAGAATGTTTCCAAACTGGTCAATCAACAGAAAGGCTCAACTCTGTGAGACGAAAGCACACATCACAAAGAAGTTTCTCAGAAAGCTTCTGTCTGGTTACTCTGTGAAGATATTTCTTTTTTCACCACAGTCTTTAAGCCACTCAAAAATATCTGTCTGCAGACACTACAAAAAGACTGTTTCCAAACTGGCCCATATAGCATGTTTCAAATATGTGAAATGAATGCACTCATCAAAGAGAAGTTTCTCAGAATTCTTCTGTCTAGTTTTTATCTCAAGATAATTCCTATTTTGCCATAGGAATCAAGGGGCTCACAAATATCCCTTTGCAGATTCTACAAAAGTTCTGTTTACAAAGCTCTCAATCAAAAGAAACGTTCAACATTGTGAGGTGAATGAACACATCACAAAGAAGTTTCTCAGAATGCTTCTGTCTAGATTTTATGTGAAGATATTTCCATTTTCACCTTAGACCACAAAGCGCTCCAAACATCCCTTTGCAGATGATACGAAAAGACTGTTTCCAAACTGCTCAATCAAAAGAAATTTTCAACTCTGTGAGATGAAAGCACCCATCACAAGAAAGTTTCTCAGAAATCTTCTGTCTAGTTTTTATGTGAAGATATTTCCTTTTTCACCATAGGCCTTAAACTGCTCACAAATATCCTTCTGCAGATACTAAAAAAATACTGTTTCCAAACTGCTCCATCAAAAGAAAAGTTCACCTCTCTGAGATGAATGCACACATCACAAAGAAGTTTCTCAGAATTCTTCTGTCTAGTTTAAATGTGAAGATATTTCTCTTTCACCACAGACCTCAAATGGCTCAGAAATAAGCCTTTGCAGATTGCAGAAAAAGACTGTCTCTAAACTGCTCAAATAAAATAAAGTTTCAACACTGTGAGATGAATGCACACATCACAAAGAAGTTTCTCAGAAAGCTCCTGTCTAGTTTCTATGTGAAGATATTTACTATTTCACTGTAGGCTTCAAAGGTCTCAAAAATATCCCTTTGCAGATTCTGCAAAAATACGGTTTCCACAGTGCTGAATTAAAAGAAACCTTCAACTCTGTCAGATGAATGGAGACATCACAAAGAAGTTCCTCGGAACGCTTCGGTCTAGTTTTCATGTAAAGATATTTCCAGTTTCACCATAGGCCTCAAAGGGCCAAGAAATATCCCTTTCCAGATTCTAAAAGACAACCACTTCCATACTGCTCAATCAAAAGAAAGCTTAAATTCTGTGAGGTGAATGCACACATGAGAATGAAATTTCTCAGAATTCTTCTGTTTAGTTTTTATGAGAAGTTATTTCCTTTGTCACCATTGGCCTCAAAGCACTCCTAATATCCATTTACAGATTTCACAAAAAGAGTGTTTCCAAACAGCTCAATCAAAAGAAAGTGTTTAACTCTGTGAGGTGAAAGCACACATCTCAATGAAGTTTCTCAGAACGCTTCTGTCTAGTTTATATGTGAAGATGATTCCTATTTCACCATAGGCAATAAAGGGCTCACAAATATGTTTTGCAGATTCTACAAAAAGACTGTGTCCAAACTGCTCAATAAAAAGAAAGTTTTAACTCTGTTAGATTAACGGACACATCGAAAAGTAGTTTCTCAGAAAACTTCTGTCTAGTTTTTATGTGAAGATACTTCACAGTGCATCATAGTACTCAATGGGCTCAGAAATATCCCCTGGCAGATTCTACAAAAGGACTGTTTCAAAACTGCTCAATCCAAAGAAAGTTTCAACTATGTGAGATGAATGCACACATCACAAAGGAGTTCTTCAGAATGCTTCTGTTTAGTTTTTACGTGAAGATATTTCGTTTTTCACCACGGGCCTCAAAAGCTCTCCAAATATCCATTTGCATATTCTAGAAAAAGAGTGTTTCCAAACTCCTCAATCAAAGGATAGTTTCAATTCTGTGAGACGAAAGCACACATCACAACGAAGTTTCTTAGAAAGCGTCCGTCTAGTTTTTATGGGAAGATGTTTCTCTTTCACCATAAGCCTCAAACGGATCAGAATTCTCCCTTTGCAGATTGTACAATGAGCCTCTTTCCAATCTGCTCAATCAAAAGAAAGTTTCAACTCTGTGAGGTGAATGCACACATCACAAGGGAGTTTCTCAGAAAGCTCCTGTCTAGTTTTTATGTGAAGATATTTCGTATTTCACCACAGGCCATAAGGGGCTCACAAATATCCCTTTGCAGGTTCTACAAAAAGACTGTTTTCAAACTGCTCAATCAAAAGAAAGGTTCAACTCTGTGACGTGAATGGACACATCACAAAAAATTTTTCGGAATCATTCTGTCTAGTTTTTATGTGAAGATACTTCCTTTTTCACCAAGGGCCTCAAATATCTCCAAATATCCATTTGCAGATTCTACAGAAAGACTTCCCAAACTGCTCAATCAAAAGAAAGGTTCAACACAGTGAGATGAAGGCACACATCACAAAGAAGTTTCTCAGAAATCTTCGGTCTACTGTTTATGTGAGGCTATTTCTTGTTCACCATAGGCCTCAAGCAGCTAAGAAATTTCCCTCTGCAGCTTCTACAAAAGACTGGTTACAAACTGCTCAACTGAAAGGAAGGTTGAATTCTGTGACATGAATTCACACATCACAAAGAGGTTTCTCAGAAATCTTCTGTCTACTTTTTATGTGAAGATATTTCATATTTCAACAAAGGCCATAAAGGGCTCACAAATATCCCTTTGCGGATTCTAAGAAAAGACATTTTCCAAACTCCTCAATCAAAAGAAATGTTTCACTCTGTGCGATGAATGGACACATCACAAAGAAATTTCTCAGAAAGCTACTGTGTCGTTTTTATGTGAAGACGTTTCCTTTTTCACTCTAGGCCTTAAAACTCTCTAAATATACATTCACAGATTCTACAAAAAGACTGATTCCAAACTGCTCAATCAGAAGAAAGGTTCAATTCCTTGTGACAAACGTGCACATCACAAAGAAATTTGTCAGAAAGCATCTGTCTAGTTTTCATGTGAAGATATTTATTTTTCACCATTGGCCCCAAACGGCTCAGAAATGTCCCTTTGCAGTTTGTAGGAAAAGACTGTTTCCAAACTGCTCAATGAGAAGAAATGGTCAACAATTAGAGATGAATGGACATGTCACAAAGAGTTTTCTCAAAAAGCTTCTGTCTGCATTTTATGTGAAGGTATTTCCTTTAGCACCGTAGGCCTTAAACCACTCACAAACATAACTCCGCTTATACTACCAAGAGACTTTCTCCAAATTGCTAAATCAAAAGAAACGTTCAACTCTGAGAGATGAATACACACATCAAAAAGAAGTTTCTCAAAATGCTTCTGTCTAGTTTTTATGTGAAGATATTTCCTTCTTCACCGTAGGCCGCAAATTGCTCCAAATATCCATTTGCGGATTCTACAGAAAGAATGTTTCCAAACTGGTCAATCAACAGAAAGGCTCAACTCTGTGAGACGAAAGCACACATCACAAAGAAGTTTCTCAGAAAACTTCTGTCTGGTTTTAATGTGAAGATATTTACTTTTTCACCATGGGCCTGAAAACACTCCATATATCCACTTGCAGATTCTACAAAAATAGTGTTTTCAAACTGCTCAATGAAAAGAAAGGTTCAATTCTGTGAGATGAAAGCACACTTCACAAAAGTATTTCTTAGAAACCTTCTGTCTAGCTTTTATCTCAAGATAATTCCTATTTTGCCATAGGAATCAATGTGCTCACAAATATCCCTTTGCAGATTCTACAAAAGTTCTGTTTCCAAGCTGCTCAATCAAAAGAAACGTTCAACATTGTGAGATGAATGCACACATCACAAAGAAGTTTCTCAGAATGCTTGTGTCTAGATTTTATGTGAAGATATTTCCATTTTCACCTTAGGCCACAAAGCGTTCCAAACATCCCTTTGCAGATGATACGAAAAGACTGTTTCCAAACTGCTCAATCAAAAGAAACTTTCAACTCTGTGAGATGAAAGCACCCATCACAAAAAAGTTTCTCAGAAATCTTCTGTCTAGTTTTTATGTGAAGATATTTCCTTTTTCAGCATAGTCCTTACACCGCTCACAAATATCCTTCTGCAGATACTAGAAAAAGACTGTTTCCAAACTGCTCCATCAAAAGAAAATTTCACCTACCTGAGATGAATGCACACATCATAAAGAAGTTTCTCAGAATTCTTCTGTCTAGTTTAAATGTGAAGATATTTCTTTTTCACCATAGACCTCAAATGGCTCAGAAATATACCTTTGCAGATTGCAGAAAAAGACTGTTTCTAAACTTCTCAAACAAAATAAAGTTTCAACACTGTGAGATGAATGCACACATCAGAAAGAAGTTTCTCAGAAAGCTCCTGTCTAGTTTCTGTGTGAAGATATTTACTATTTCACTATAGGCTTCAAAGGTCCCAAAAATATCCCTTTGCAGATTCTACAAAAATATGGTTTCCACAGTGCTGAATTGAAAGAAACCTTCAACTCTGTCAGATGAATGGAGACATCACAAAGAAGTTCCCCGGAATGCTTCGGTCTACTTTTCATGTGAAGATATTTCCAGTTTCACCGTAGGCCTCAAAGGGCTAAGAAATATCCCTTTCCAGATTCTAAAAGACGACCGTTTCCATACTTCTCAATCAAAAGAAAGGTTAAGTTCTCTGAGGTTAATGCCCACGTCAGAATGAAGTTTCTCAGAATTCTTCTGTTTAGTTTTTATGTGAAGATATTTCCTTTGTCACCATTGGCCTCAAAGCACTCCTAATATCCATTTACAGATTTCACAAAAAGAGTGTTTCCAAACAGCTCAATCAAAAGAAAGTGTTTAACTCTGTGAGGTGAAAGCACACATCTCAAAGAAGTTTTTCCGAAAGCTTCTGTCTAGTTTATATGTGAAGAAGATTCCTATTTCACCATAGGCAATAAAGGGCTCGCAAATATTTTTTGCAGATTCTACAAAAAGACTGTATCCAAACTGCTCAATAAAAAGAAAGTTTTAACTCTGTTAGATTAATGGACACATCGAAAGGTAGTTTCTCAGAAAACTTCTGTCTAGTTTTTATGTGAAGATACTTCACATTGCAGCATAGTACTCAATGGGCTCAGAAATATCCCTTGGCAGATTCTACAAAAGGACTGTTTCAAAACTGCTCAATCCAAAGAAAGTTTCAACTATGTGAGATGAATGCACACATCACAAGGAAGTTCCTCAGAATGCTTCTGTTTAGTTTTTACGTGAAGATGTTTCGTTTTTCAACATGGGCCTCAAAAGCTCTCCAAATATCCACTTGCAGATTCTAGAAAAAGAGTGTTTCCAAACTCCTCAATCAAAAGAAAGTTTCAATTCTGTGAGATGAAAGCACACATCACACCGAAGTTTCTTAGAAAGCTTCCGTCTAGTTTTAATGGGAAGATGTTTCTCTTTCACCAGAAGCCTCAAAAGGATCAGAATTCTCCCTTTGCAGATTGTACAATAAGCCTCTTTCCAATCTGCTCAACCAAAAGAAAGTTTCAACTCTGTAAGGTGAATGCACACATCACAAGGGAGTTTCTCCGAAAGCTCCTGTCTAGTTTTTATGTGAAGATATTTCGTATTTCACCACAGGCCATAAGGGGCTCACAAATATCCCTTTGCAGGTTCTACAAAAAGACTGTTTCCAAACTGCTCAATCAAAAGAAAGGTTCAACTCTGTGACGTGAATGGACACATCGCAGAAAATTTCTTGGAACGATCCTGTCTAGTTTTTATGTGAAGATACTTCCTTTTTCACCACGAGCCTCAAATATCTCCAAATATCCATTTGCAGATTCTACAGAAAGACTTTCCAAACTGCTCCATCAAAAGAAAGGTTCAACACTGTGAGATGAAGGCACACATCACCAAGAAGTTTCTCAGAAACCTTCTGTCTAGTTTTTATGTGAGGCTATTTCTTGTTCACCATAGGCCTCAAGCAGCTAAGAAATTTCCCTCTGCAGCTTCTACAAAAGACTGGTTACAAACTGTTCAACTGAAAGGAAGGTTGAATTCTGTGACATGAATTCACACATCACAAAGAGGTTTCTCAGAAATCTTCTGTCTACTTTTTACGTGAAGATATTTCATATTTCAACAAAGGCCGTAAAGGGCTCACAAATAACCCTTTGCAGATTCTAAGAAAAGACATTTTCCAAACTCCTCAATCAAAAGAAAGGTTTCACTCTGTGCGATGAATGGACACATCACAAAGAAGTTTCTCAGAAAGCTACTGTATCGTTTTTATGTGAAGACATTGCCTCTTGCACCCTAGGCCTTAAAACTCTCTAAACACACATTCACAGATTCTACAAAAAGACTGATTCCAAACTGCTCAATCAGAAGAAGGGTTCAATTCCGTGTGACAAACGTGCACATCACAAAGAAATTTGTCAGAAAGCTTCTGTCTAGTTTTCATGTGAAGATATTTATTTTTCACCATTGGCCCCAAACGGCTCAGAAATGTCCCTTTGCAGTTTGTAGGAAAAGACTGTTTCCAAACTGCTCAATGAGAAGAAATGGTCAAATATGAGAGATGAATGGAAATGTCACAAAGAGTTTTCTCAAAAAGCTTCTGTCTGCATTTTATGTGAAGGTATTTCCTTTGGCACCGTAGGCCTTAAACCACTCACAAACATAACTCCGCTTATACTACCAAGAGACTTTCTCCAAATTGCTAAATCAAAAGAAACGTTCAACACTGTGAGATGAATACACACATCAAAAAGAAGTTTCTCAAAATGCTTCTGTCTAGTTTTTATGTGAAGATATTTCCTTCTTCACCGTAGGCCGCAAATTGCTCCAAATATCCATTTGCGTATTCTACAGAAAGAATGTTTCCAAACTGGTCAATCAACAGAAAGGCTCAACTCTGTGAGACGAAAGCACACATCACAAAGAAGTTTCTCAGAAAGCTTCTCTCTGGTTACTCTGTGAAGATATTTCTTTTTTCACCACAGTCTTTAAGCCACTCAAAAATATCTGTCTGCAGACACTACAAAAAGACGGTTTCCAAACTGGCCCATATAGCATGTTTCAACTATGTGAAATGAATGCACTCATCAAAGAGAAGTTTCTCAGAATTCTCCTGTCTAGTTTTTATCTCAAGATAATTCCTATTTTGCCATAGGAATCAAGGGGCTCACAAATATCCCTTTGCAGATCCTACAAAAGTTCTGTTTACAAACCTCTCAATCAAAAGAAACGTTCAACATTGTGAGACGAATGAACACATCACAAAGAAGTTTCTCAGAATGCTTCTGTCTAGATTTTATGTGAAGATATTTCCATTTTCACCTTAGGCCACAAAGCGCTCCACACATCCCTTTGCAGATGATACGAAAAGACTGTTTCCAAACTGCTCAATCAAAAGAAATTTTCAACTCTGTGAGATGAAAGCAACCATCACAAAAAAGTTTCTCAGAAATCTTCTGTCTAGTTTTTATGTGAAGATATTTCCTTTTTCAGCATAGTCCTTACACCGCTCACAAATATCCTTCTGCAGATACTAGAAAAAGACTGTTTCCAAACTGCTCCATCAAAAGAAAATTTCACCTACCTGAGAGGAATGCACACATCATAAAGAAGTTTCTCAGAATTCTTCTGTCTAGTTTCAATGTGAAGATATTTCTTTTTCACCATAGACCTCAAATGGCTCAGAAATATACCTTTGCAGATTGCAGAAAAAGACTGTTTCTAAACTGCTCAAACAAAATAAAGTTTCAACACTGTGAGATGAATGCGCACATCACAAAGAAGTTTCTCAGAAAGCTCCTGTCTAGTTTCTGTGTGAAGATATTTACTCTTTCACTATAGGCTTCAAAGGTCCCAAAAATATCCCTTTGCAGATTCTACAAAAATATGGTTTCCACAGTGCTGAATTGAAAGAAACCTTCAACTCTGTCAGATGAATGGAGACATCACAAAGAAGTTCCCCGGAATGCTTGGTCTAGTTTTCATGTGAAGATATTTCCAGTTTCACCATAGGCCTCAAAGGGCTAAGAAATATCCCTTTCCAAATTCTAAAAGACGAACATTTCCATACTGCTCAATCAAAAGAAAGGTTAAATTCTGTGAGGTGAATGCACACATCAGAATGAAGTTTCTCAGAATTCTCTCTGTGTAGTTTTTATGTGAAGATATTTCCTTTGTCACCATTGGCCTCAAAGCACTCCTAATATCCATTTACAGATTTCACAAAAAGAGTGTTTCCAAACAGCTCAATCAAAAGAAAGTGTTTAACTCTGTGAGGTGAAAGCACACATCTCAAAGAAGTTTCTCCGAAAGCTTCTGTCTAGTTTATATGTGAAGAAGATTCCTATTTCACCATAGGCAATAAAGGGCTCGCAAATATTTTTTGCAGATTCTACAAAAAGACTGTATCCAAACTGCTCAATAAAAAGAAAGTTTTAACTCTGTTAGATTAATGGACACATCGAAAGGTAGTTTCTCAGAAATCTTCTGTCTAGCTTTTATGTGAAGATACTTCACAGTGCATCATAGTACTCAATGGGCTCAGAAATATCCCTTGGCAGATTCTACAAAAGGACTGTTTCAAAACTGCTCAATCCAAAGAAAGTTTCAACTATGTGAGATGAATGCACACATCACAAAGAAGTTCCTCAGAATGCTTCTGTTTAGTTTTTATGTGAAGATGTTTCGTTTTTCAACATGGGCCTCAGGATCTCTCCAAATATCCATTTGCAGATTCTAGAAAAAGAGTGTTTCCAAACTCCTCAATCAAAAGAAAGTTTCAATTCCGTGAGATGAAAGCACACATCACAACGAAGTTTCTTAGAAAGCTTCCGTCTAGTTTTTATGGGAAGATGTTTCTCTTTCACCAGAAGCCTCAAACGGATCAGAATTCTCCCTTTGCAGATTGTACAATAAGCCTCTTTCCAATCTCCTCAATCAAAAGAAAGTTTCAACTCTGTGAGGTGAATGCACACATCAAAAGGGAGTTTCTCAGAAAGCTCCTGTCTAGTTTTTATGTGAAGATATTTCGTATTCCACCACAGGCCATAAGGGGCTCACAAATATCCCTTTGCAGGTTCCACAAAAAGACTGTTGCCAAACTGCTCAATCAAAAGAAAGGTTCAACTCTGTGACGTGAATGGACACATCACAAACAATTTCTTGGAATGATTCTGTCTAGTTTTTATGTGAAGATACTTCCTTTTTCACCACGGGCCTCAAATATCTCCAAATATCCATTTACAGATTCTACAGAAAGACTTCCCAAACTGCTCAATCAAAAGAAAGGTTCAACACAGTGAGATGAAGGCACACATCACAAAGAAGTTTCTCAGAAATCTTCTGTCTACTTTTTATGTGAGGCTATTTCTGGTTCACCTTAGGCCTCAAGCAGCTAAGAAATTTCCCTCTGCAGCTTCTACAAAAGACTGGTTCCAAACTGCTCAACTGAAAGGAAGGTTGAATTCTGTGACATGAATTCACACATCACAAAGAGATTTCTCAGAAATCTTCTGTCTACTTTTTACGTGAAGATATTTCATATTTCAACAAAGGCCATAAAGGGCTCACAAATATCCCTTTGCAGATTCTAAGAAAAGACATTTTCCAAACTCCTCAATCAAAAGAAAGGTTTCACTCTGTGCGATGAATGGACACATCACAAAGAAGTTTCTCAGAAAGCTACTGTGTCGTTTTTATGTGAAGACGTTTCCTTTTTCACTCTAGGCCTTAAAACTCTCTAAATATACATTCACAGATTCTACAAAAAGACTGATTCCAAACTGCTCAATCAGAAGAAAGGTTCAATTTCGTGTGACAAACGTGCACATCACAAAGAAATTTGTCAGAAAGCTTCTGTCTAGTTTTCATGTGAAGATATTTATTTTTCACCATTGGCCCCAAACGGCTCAGAAATATCCCTTTGCAGTTTGTAGGAAAAGACTGTTTCCAAACTGCTCAATGAGAAGAAATTTTCAACTATTAGAGATGAATGGAAATGTCACAAAGAGTTTTCTCAAAAAGCTTCTGTCTGCATTTTATGTGAAGGTATTTCCTTTGGCACCGTAGGCCTTAAACCACTCACAAACATAACTCCGCTTATACTACCAAGAGACTTTCTCCAAATTGCTAAATCAAAAGAAACGTTCAACTCTGAGAGATGAATACACACATCAAAAAGAAGTTTCTCAAAATGCTTCTGTCTAGTTTTTATCTGAAGATATTTCCTTCTTCACCGTAGGCCGCAAATTGCTCCAAATATCCATTTGCGGATTCTACAGAAAGAATGTTTCCAAACTGGTCAATCAACAGAAAGGCTCAACTCTGTGAGACGAAAGCACACATCACAAAGAAGTTTCTCAGAAAGCTTCTGTCTGGTTACTCTGTGAAGATATTTCTTTTTTCACCACAGTCTTTAAGCCACTCAAAAATATCTGTCTGCAGACACTACAAAAAGACTGTTTCCAAACTGGCCCATATAGCATGTTTCAACTATGTGAAAGGAATGCACTCATCAAAGAGAAGTTTCTCAGAATTCTTCTGTCTAGTTTTTATCTCAAGATAATTCCTATTTTGCCATAGGAATCACGGGGCTCAAAAATATCCCTTTGCAGATTCTACAAAAGTTCTGTTTACAAACCTCTCAATCAAAAGAAACGTTCAACATTGTGAGATGAATGAACACATCACAAAGAAGTTTCTCAGAATGCTTCTGTCTAGTTTTTATGTGAAGATATTTCCATTTTCACCTTAGGCCACAAAGTGCTCCAAATATCCATTTGCAGATTATACAAAAAGACTGTTTCCAAACTGCTCAATCAAAAGAAATTTTCAACTCTGTGAGATGAAAGCACACATCACAAAGAAGTTTCTCAGAAATCTTCTGTCTAGTTTTTATGTGAAGATATTCCCTTTTTCACCATAGTCCTTACACCGCTCACAAATATCCTTCTGCAGATACTAGAAAAAGACTGTTTCCAAACTGCTCCATCAAAAGAAAATTTCGCCTACCTGAGATGAATGCACACATCATAAAGAAGTTTCTCAGAATTCTTCTGTCTATTTTAAATGTGAAGATATTTCTTTTTTCACCATAGACCTCAAATGGCTCAGAAATATGCCTTTGCAGATTGCAGAAAAAGACTGTTTCTAAACTGCTCAAACAAAATAAAGTTTCAACACTGTTAGATGAATGCGCACATCACAAAGAAGTTTCTCAGAAAGCTCCTGTCTAGTTTCAATGTGAAGATATTTACTATTTCACTATAGGCTTCAAAGGTCCCAAAAATATCCCTTTGCAGATTCTACAAAAATACGGTTTCCACAGTGCTGAATTAAAAGAAACCTTCAACTCTGTCAGATGAATGGAGACATCACAAAGAAGTTCCTCGGAATGCTTCGGTCTACTTTTCATGTGAAGATATTTCCAGTTTCACCGTAGGCCTCAAAGGGCTAAGAAATATCCCTTTCCAGATTCTAAAAGACGACCGTTTCCATACTTTTCAATCAAAAGAAAGGTTAAATTCTCTGAGGTTAATGCCCACGTCAGAATGAAGTTTCTCAGAATTCTTCTGTTTAGTTTTTATGAGAAGATATTTCCTTTTCCACCATTGGCCTCAAAGCACTCCTAATATCCATTTACAGATTTCACAAAAAGAGTGTTTCCAAACAGCTCAATCAAAAGAAAGTGTTTAACTCCTGTGAGGTGAAAGCACACATCTCAATGGAGTTTCTCAGAAAGCTTCTGTCTGGTTTATATGTGAAGAAGATTCCTATTTCACCATAGGCAATAAAGGGCTCGCAAATATTTTTTGCAGATTCTACAAATAGACTGTATCCAAACTGCTCAATAAAAAGAAAGTTTTAACTCTGTTTGATTAATGGACACATCGAAAAGTAGTTTCTCAGAAAACTTCTATCTAGTTTTTATGTGAAGATATTTCATATTTCAAAATAGGTCTCAATGAGCTCAAAAATAAACTCTTGCAGATGCTACAAAAAGAGTGTTTCCAAAAAGCTCAATCAAAATAAAGGTTTAACACTGTAAGATAAATACACACATTACAAAGAAGTCTCTCAGAATTCTTCTGTTTAGTTTTTACGTGAAGATGTTTCGTTTTTCAACATGGGCCTCAAAAGCTCTCCAAATATCCATTTGCAGATTCTAGAAAAAGAGTGTTTCCAAACTCCTCAATCAAAAGAAAGTTTCAATTCTGTGAGATGAAAGCACACATCACAACGAAGTTTCTTAGAAAGCTTCCGTCTAGTTTTTATGGGAAGATGTTTCTCTTTCACCATAAGCCTCAAACGGATCAGAATTCTCCCTTTGCAGTTTGTACAATAAGCCTCTTTCCAATCTGCTCAATCAAAAGAAAGTTTCAACTCTGTGAGGTGAATGCACACATCACAAGGGAGTTTCTCAGAAAGCTCCTGTCTAGTTTTTGTGTGAAGATATTTCGTATTTCACCACAGGCCATAAGGGGCTCACAAATATCCCTTTGCAGGTTCTATACAAAGACTGTTTCCAAACTGCTCAATCAAAAGAAAGTTCAACTCTGTGACGTGAATGGACACATCACAAAAAATTTCTCGGAATAATTCTGTCTAGTTTTATGTGAAGATACTTCCTTTTTCACCAAGGGCCTCAAATATCTCCAAATATCCATTTGCAGATTCTACAGAAAGACTTCCCAAACTGCTCAAACAAAAGAAAGGTTCAACACAGTGAGATGAAGGCACACATCACAAAGAAGTTTCTCAGAAATCTTCTGTCTAGTTTTTATGTGAGGCTATTTCTTGTTCACCATAGGCCTCAAGCAGCTAAGAAATTTCCCTCTGCAGCTTCTACAAAAGACTGGTTCCAAACTGCTCAACTGAAAGAAAGGTTGAATTCTGTGACATGAATTCACACATCACAAAGAGGTTTTTCAGAAATCTTCTGTCTACTTTTTATGTGAAGATATTTCATATTTCAACAAAGGCCATAAAGGGCTCACAGATATCCCTTTGCAGATTCTAAGAAAAGACATTTTCCAAGCTCCTCAATCAAAAGAAAGGTTTCACTCTGTGCGATGAATGGACACATCACAAAGAAGTTTCTCAGAAAGCTACTGTGTCGTTTTTATGTGAAGACGTTTCCTTTTTCACTCTAGGCCTTAAAACTCTCTAAATATACATTCACAGATTCTACAAAAAGACTGATTCCAAACTGCTCAATCAGAAGAAAGGTTCAATTCCGTGTGACAAACGTGCACATCACAAAGAAATTTGTCAGAAAGCTTCTGTCTAGTTTTCATGTGAAGATATTTATTTTTCACCATTGGCCCCAAACGGCTCAGAAATATCCCTTTGCAGTTTGTAGGAAAAGACTGTTTCCAAACTGCTCAATGAAAAGAAATGGTCAACTATTAGAGATGAATGGAAATGTCACAAAGAGTTTTCTCAAAAAGCTTCTGTCTGCATTTTATGTGAAGGTATTTCCTTTGGCACCGTAGGCCTTAAACCACTCACAAACATAACTCCGCTTATACTACCAAGAGACTTTCTCCAAATTGCTAAATCAAAAGAAATGTTCAACTCTGTGAGATGAATACACACATCAAAAAGAAGTTTCTCAAAATGCTTCTGTCTAGTTTTTATGTGAAGATATTTCCTTCTTCACCGTAGGCCGCAAATTGCTCCAAATATCCATTTGCGGATTCTACAGAAAGAATGTTTCAAACTGGTCAATCAACAGAAAGGCTCAACTCTGTGAGACGAAAGCACACATCACAAAGAAGTTTCTCAGAAAGCTTCTGTCTGGTTACTCTGTGAAGATATTTCTTTTTTCACCACAGTCTTTAAGCCACTCAAAAATATCTGTCTGCAGACACTACAAAAAGACTGTTTCCAAACTGGCCCATATAGCATGTTTCAACTATGTGAAATGAATGCACTCATCAAAGAGAAGTTCCTCAGAATTCTTCTGTCTAGTTTTTATCTCAAGATAATTCCTATTTTGCCATAGGAATCAAGGGGCTCACAAATATCCCTTTGCATATCCTACAAAAGTTCTGTTTACAAACCTCTCAATCAAAAGAAACGTTCAACATTGTGAGACGAATGAACACATCACAAAGAAGTTTCTCAGAATGCTTCTGTCTAGATTTTATGTGAAGATATTTCCATTTTCACCTTAGGCCACAAAGCGCTCCAAACATCCCTTTGCAGATGATACGAAAAGACTGTGTCCAAACTGCTCAATCAAAAGAAATTTTCAACTCTGTGAGATGAAAGCACCCATCACAAAAAAGTTTCTCAGAAATCTTCTGTCTAGTTTTTTTGTGAAGATATTTCCTTTTTCAGCGTAGTCCTTACACCGCTCACAAATATCCTTCTGCAGATACTAGAAAAAGACTGTTTCCAAACTGCTCCATCAAAAGAAAATTTCACCTACCTGAGATGAATGCACACATCATAAAGAAGTTTCTCAGAATTCTTCTGTCTAGTTTAAATGTGAAGATATTTCTCTTTCACCGCAGACCTCAAATGGCTCAGAAATATGCCTTTGCAGTTTGCAGAAAAAGACTGTCTCTAAACTGCTCAAATAAAATAAAGTTTCAACACTGTGAGATGAATGCACACATCACAAAGAAGTTTCTCAGAAAGCTCCTGTCTAGTTTCTATGTGAAGATATTTACTATTTCAATATAGGCTTCAAAGGTCTCAAAAATATCCCTTTGCAGATTCTACAAAAATACGGTTTCCACAGTGCTGAATTAAAAGAAACCTTCAACTCTGTCAGATGAACAGAGACATCACAAAGAAGTTCCTCGGAATGCTTCGGTCTACTTTTCATGTGAAGATATTTCCAGTTTCACCGTAGGCCTCAAAGGGCTAAGAAATATCCCTTTCCAGATTCTAAAAGACGACCGTTTCCATACTTCTCAATCCAAAGAAAGGTTAAATTCTCTGAGGTTAATGCCCACGTCAGAATGAAGTTTCTCAGAATTCTTCTGTTTAGTTTTTATGAGAAGATATTTCCTTTTCCACCATTGGCCTCAAAGCACTCCTAATATCCATTTACAGATTTCACAAAAAGAGTGTTTCCAAACAGCTCAATCAAAAGAAAGTGTTTAACTCTGTGAGGTGAAAGCACACATCTCAATGGAGTTTCTCAGAAAGCTTCTGTCTAGTTTATATGTGAAGAAGATTCCTATTTCACCATAGGCAATAAAGGGCTCGCAAATATTTTTTGCAGATTCTACAAAAAGACTGTATCCAAACTGCTCAATAAAAACAAAGTTTTAACTCTGTTTGACTAATGGACACATTGAAAGGTAATTTCTCAGAAAACTTCTGTCTAGTTTTTATGTGAAGATATTTCACATTGCACCATAGTACTCAATGGGCTCAGAAATATCCCTTTGCAGATTCTACAAGAGGACTGTTTCCAAACTACTCAATCCAAAGACAGTTTCAACTATGTGAGATGAATGCACACATCACAAAGAAGTTTCTCAGAGTGCTTCTGTTTAGTTTTTACATGAAGATGTTTCGTTTTTCAACATGGGCCTCAAAAGCTCTCCAAATATCCACTTGCAGATTCTAGAAAAAGAGTGTTTCCAAACTCCTCAGTCAAAAGAAAGTTTCAATTGTGTGAGATGAAAGCACACATCACTCCGAAGTTTCTTAGAAAGCTTCCGTCTAGTTTTTATGGGAAGATGTTTCTCTTTCACCATTAGCCTCAAACGGATCAGAATTCTCCCTTTGCAGATTGTACAATAAGCCTCTTTCCAATCTGCTCAATCAAAAGAAAGTTTCAACTCTGTGAGGTGAATGCACACATCACAAGGGAGTTTCTCAGAAAGCTCCTGTCTAGTTTTTGTGTGAAGATACTTCGTATTTCACCACAGGCCATAAGGGGCTCACAAATATCCCTTTGCAGGTTCTACAAAAAGACTGTTTCCAAACTGCTCAATCAAAAGAAAGGTTCAACTCTGTGACGTGAATGGACACATCACAAAAAATTTCTCGGAATGATTCTGTCTAGTTTTTATTTGCTGATACTCCCTTTTTCACCATAGGCCTCAAACCGCTCATAAATAACCCTTTGCAGATTCTACAAAAAGAGTGTTTCCAAACTACTCAATCACAAGAAAGCTTCAACTCTGTGACATGAATTCACACATCACAAAGAAGTTTTTCAGAAATCTTCTGTCTACTTTTTATGTGAGGCTATTTCTTGTTCACCATAGGCCTCAAGCAGCTAAGAAATTTCCCTCTGCAGCTTCTACAAAAGACTGGTTCCAAACTGCTCAACTGAAAGGAAGGTTGAATTCTGTGACATGAATTCACACATCACAAAGAGGTTTCTCAGAAATCTTCTGTCTACTTTTTATGTGAAGATATTTCATATTTCAACAAAGGCCATAAAGGGCTCACAAATATCCCTTTGCAGATTCTAAGAAATGACATTTTCCAAAATCCTCAATCAAAAGAAAGGTTCCACTCTGTGCGATGAATGGACACATCACAAAGAAGTTTCTCAGAAAGCTACTGTGTCGTTTTTATGTGAAGACCGTTTCCTTTTTCACTCTAGGCCTTAAAACTCTCTAAATATACATTCACAGATTCTACAAAAAGACTGATTCCAAACTGCTCAATCAGAAGAAAGGTTCAATTCCGTGTGACAAACGTGCACATCACAAAGAAATTTGTCAGAAAGCTTCTGTCTAGTTTTCATGTGAAGATATTTATTTTTCACCATTGGCCCCAAACGGCTCAGAAATATCCCTTTGCAGTTTGTAGGAAAAGACTGTTTCCAAACTGCTCAATGAGAAGAAATGGTCAACTATTAGAGATGAATGGAAATGTCACAAAGAGTTTTCTCAAAAAGCTTCTGTCTACATTTTTTGTGAAGGTATTTCCTTTGGCACCGTAGGCCATAAACCACTCACAAACATAACTCCGCTTATACTACCAAGAGACTTTCTCCAAATTGCTAAATCAAAAGAAACGTTCAACTCTGTGAGATGAATACACACATCAAAAAGAAGTTTCTCAAAATGCTTCTGTCTAGTTTTTATGTGAAGATATTTCCTTCTTCACCGTAGGCCGCAAATTGTTCCAGATATCCATTTGCGGATTCTACAAAAAGAATGTTTCCAAACTGGTCAATCAACAGAAAGGCTCAACTCTGTGAGACGAAAGCACACATCACAAAGAAGTTTCTCAGAAAGCTTCTGTCTGGTTACTCTGTGAAGATATTTCTTTTTTCACCACAGTCTTTAAGCCACTCAAAAATATCTGTCTGCAGACACTACAAAAAGACTGTTTCCAAACTGGCCCATATAGCATGTTTCAACTATGTGAAAGGAATGCACTCATCAAAGAGAAGTTTCTTAGAATTCTTCTGTCTAGTTTTTATCTCAAGATTATTCCTATTTTGCCATAAGAATCAAGGGGCTCACAAATATCCCTTTGCGGATTCTACAAAAGTTCTGTTTACAAACCTCTCAATCAAAAGAAACGTTCAACATTGTGAGATGAATGAACACATCACAAAGAAGTTTCTCAGAATGCTTCTGTCTAGATTTTATGTGAGGATATTTCCATTTTCACCTTAGGCCACAAAGCGCTCCAAACATCCCTTTGCAGATGATACGAAAAGACTGTTTCCAAACTGCTCAATCAAAAGAAATTTACAACTCTGTGAGATGAAAGCACCCATCACAAAAAAGTTTCTCAGATATCTTCTGTCTAGTTATTATGTGAAGATATTTTCTTTTTCACCATAGTCTTTAAACCACTCAAAAATATCCTTCTGCAGATACTACAAAAAGACTGTTTCCAAACTGGTCCATCAAAGAATGTTTCAACTCTGTGAGATGAATGGACTCATCACAAAGAAGTTTCTCAGAATTCTTCTGTCTAGTTTAAATGTGAAGATATTTCTCTTTCACCACAGACCTCAAATGGCTCAGAAATATGCCATTGCAGATTGCAGAAAAAGACTGTCTCTAAACTGCTCAAATAAAATAAAGTTTCAACACTGTGAGATGAATGCACACATCACAAAGAAGTTTCTCAGAAAGCTCCTGTCTAGTTTCTATGTGAAGATATTTACTATTTCACTATAGGCTTCAAAGGTCTCAAAAATATCCCTTTGCAGATTCTACAAAAATACGGTTTCCACAGTGCTGAATTAAAAGAAACCTTCAACTCTGTCAGATGAATGGAGACATCACAAAGAAGTTCCTCGGAATGCTTCGGTCTACTTTTCATGTGAAGATATTTCCAGTTTCACCGTAGGCCTCAAAGGGCTAAGAAATATCCCTTTGCAGATTCTAAAAGACGACCGTTTCCATACTTCTCAATCAAAAGAATGGTTAAATTCTCTGAGGTTAATGCCCACGTCAGAATGAAGTTTCTCAGAATTCTTCTCTTTAGTTTTTATGAGAAGATATTTCCTTTTTCACCACTGGCCTCAAAGCACTCCTAATATCCATTTACAGTTTCACAAAAAGAGTGTTTCCAAACAGCTCAATCAAAAGAAAGTGTTTAACTCTGTGAGGTGAAAGCACACATCTCAATGAAGTTTCTCAGAAAGCTTCTGTCTAGTTTATATGTGAAGAAGATTCCTATTTCACCATAGGCAATAAAGGGCTCACAAATATTTTTTGCAGATTCTACAAAAAGACTGTGTCCAAACTGCTCAAAAAAAAGAAAGTTTTAACTCTGTTAGATTAACGGACACATCGAAAAGTAGTTTCTCAGAAAACTTCTGTCTAGTTTTTATGTGAAGATACTTCACATTGCAGCATAGTACTCAATGGGCTCAGAAATATCCCTTGGCAGATTCTACAATAGGACTGTTTCAAAACTGCTCAATCCAAAGAAAGTTTCAACTATGTGAGATGAATGCACACATCACAAAGAAGTTCCTCAGAATGCTTCTGTTTAGTTTTTACGTGAAGATGTTTCGTTTTTCAACATGGGCCTCAGGAGCTCTCCAAATATCCATTTGCAGATTCTAGAAAAAGAGTGTTTCCAAACTCCTCAATCAAAAGAAAGTTTCAATTCCGTGAGATGAAAGCACACATCACACCGAAGTTTCTTAGAAAGCTTCCGTCTAGTTTTTATGGGAAGATATTTCACTTTCACCAGAAGCCTCAAACGGATCAGAATTCTCCCTTTGCAGATTGTACAATAAGCCTCTTTCCAATCTGTTCAATCAAAAGAAAGTTTCAACTCTGTGAGGTGAATGCACACATCACAAGGGAGTTTCTCAGAAAGCTCCTGTCTAGTTTTTATGTGAAGATATTTCGTATTTCACCACAGGCCATAAGGGGCTCACAAATATCCCTTTGCAGGTTCTACAAAAAGACTGTTTCCAAACTGCTCAATCAAAAGAAAGGTTCAACTCTGTGACGTGAATGGACACATCACAAAAAATTTCTTGGAATGATTCTGTCTAGTTTTTATGTGAAGATACTTCCTTTTTCACCAAGGGCCTCAAATATCTCCAAATATCAATTTGCAGATTCTACAGAAAGACTTCCCAAACTGCTCAATCAAAAGAAAGGTTCAACACAGTGAGATGAAGGCACACATCACAAAGAAGTTTCTCAGAAATCTTCTGTCTACTTTTTATGTGAGGCTATTTCTTGTTCACCATAGGCCTCAAGCAGCTAAGAAATTTCCCTCTGCAGCTTCTACAAAAGACTGGTTCCAAACTGCTCAACTGAAAGGAAGGTTGAAATCTGTGACATGAATTCACACATCACAAAGAGGTTTCTCAGAAATCTTCTGTCTAGTTTTTATGTGAAGATATTTCATATTTCAACATAGGCCATAAAGGGCTCACAAATATCCCTTTGTAGATTCTAAGAAAAGACATTTTCCAAACTCCTCAATCAAAAGAAAGGTTTAACTCTGTGAGATGAATGGACACATCACAAAGAAGTTTCTTAGAAAGCTACTGCGTCGTTTTTATGTGAAGACGTTTCCTTTTTCACTCTAGGCCTTAAAACTCTCTAAATATACATTCATAGATTCTACAAAAAGACTGATTCCAAACTGCGCAATCAGAAGAAATGTTCAATTCCGTGTGACAAACGTGCACATCACAAAGAAATTTGTCAGAAAGCTTCTGTCTAGTTTTCATGTGAAGATATTTATTTTTCACCATTGGCCCCAAACGGCTCAGAAATATCCCTTTGCAGTTTGTAGGAAAAGACTGTTTCCAAACTGCTCAATGAGAAGAAATGGTCAACTATTAGAGATGAATGGACATGTCACAAAGAGTTTTCTCAAAAAGCTTCTGTCTACATTTTATGTGAAGGTATTTCCTTTGGCACCGTAGGCCTTAAACCACTCACAAACATAACTCCGCTTATACTACCAAGAGACTTTCTCCAAATTGCTAAATCAAAAGAAACGTTGAACTCTGTGAGATGAATACACACATCAAAAATAAGTTTCTCAAAATGCTTCTGTCTAGTTTTTATGTGAAGATATTTCCTTCTTCACCGTAGGCCACAAATTGCTCCAAATATCCATTTACGGATTCTACAGAAAGAATGTTTCCAAACTGGTCAATCAACAGAAAGGCTCAACTCTGTGAGACGAAAGCACACATCACAAAGAAGTTTCTCAGACAGCTTCTGTCTGGTTGCTATGTGAAGATGTTTCCTTTTTCACCATAGTCTTTAAGCCACTCTAAAATACCTGACTGCAGACTCTGCAAAAAGACTGTTTCCAAACTGGCCCATATAGCATGTTTCAACTATGTGAAATGAATGCACTCATCAAAAAGAAGTTTCTCAGGATTCTTCTGTCTAGTTTTTATCTCAAGATAATTCCTATTTTGCCATAGGAATCAAGGGGCTCACAAATATCCCTTTGCAGATTCTACAAAAGTTGTGTTTACAAACCTCTCAATCAAAAGAAACGTTCAACATTGTGAGATGAATGAACACATCACAAAGAAGTTTCTCAGAATACTTCTGTCTAGTTTTTATGTGAAGATATTTCCATTTTCAACTTAGGCCACAAAGTGCTCCAAATATCCATTTGCAGATTATATGAAAAGACTGTTTCCAAACTGCTCAATCAAAAGAAATTTTCAACTCTGTGAGATGAAAGCACACATCACAAAAAAGTTTCTCAGAAATCTTCTGTCTAGTTTTTATGTGAAGATATTTCCTTTTCCACCATAGGCCTTAAACCGCTCACAAATATCCTTCTGCAGATACTATAAAAAGACTGTTTCCAAACTGCTCCATCAAAAGAAAAGTTCACCTCTCTGAGGTGAATGCACACATCAGAAAGAAGTTTCTCAGAATTCTTCTGTCTAGTTTCAATGTGAAGATATTTCTTTTTCACCATAGACCTCAAATGGCTCAGAAATATACCTTTGCAGATTGCAAAAAAAGACTGTCTCTAAACTGCTCAAATAAAATAAAGTCTCAACACTGTGAGATGAATGCGCACATCACAAAGAAGTTTCTCAGAAAGCTCCTGTCTAGTTTTTATGTGAAGATATTTAGTATTTCACTATAGGCTTCAAATGTCTCAAAAATATCCCTTTGCAGATTCTACAAAAATATGGTTTCCAAAGTGCTGAATTAAAAGAAACTTTCAACTCTGTCAGATGAATGGAGACATCACAAAGAAGTTCCTCAGAATGCTTCGGTCTACTTTTCATGTGAAGATATTTCCAGTTTCACCGGAGGCCTCAAAGGGCTAAGAAATATCCCTTTCCAGATTCTAAAAGACGACCGTTTCCATACTTCTCAATCAAAAGAAAGGTTAAATTCTCTGAGGTTAATGCCCACGTCAGAATGAAGTTTCTCAGAATTCTTCTGTTTAGTTTTTATGTGAAGATATTTCCTTTGTCACCATTGGCCTCAAAGCCCTGCTAATATCCATTTACAGATTTCACAAAAAGAGTGTTTCCAAACAGCTCAATCAAAAGAAAGTGTTTAACTCTGTGAGGTGAAAGCACACATCTCCAAGAAGTTTCTCAGAAAGCTTCTGTCTAGTTTATATGTGAAGAAGATTCCTATTTCACCATAGGCAATAAAGGGCTCGCAAATATTTTTTGCAGATTCTACAAAAAGACTGTATCCAAACTGCTCAATGAAAAGAAAGTTTTAACTCTGTTAGATTAATGGACACATCGAAAGGTAGTTTCTCAGAAATCTTCTGTCTAGTTTTTATGTGAAGATACTTCACAGTGCATCATAGTACTCAATGGGCTCAGAAATATCCCTTGGCAGATTCTACAAAAGGACTGTTTCAAAACTGCTCAATACAAAGAAAGTTTCAACTATGTGAGATGAATGCACACATCACAAAGAAGTTCCTCAGAATGCTTCTGTTTAGTTTTTACGTGAAGATGTTTCGTTTTTCAACATGGGCCTCAGAAGCTCTCCAAATATCCATTTGCAGATTCTAGAAAAAGAGTGTTTCCAAACTCCTCAATGCAAAGAAAGTTTCAATTCCGTGAGATGAAAGCACACATCACAACGAAGTTTCTTAGAAAGCTTCCGTCTAGTTTTTATGGGAATATGTTTCTCTTTCACCATAAGCCTCAAACGGATCAGAATTCTCCCTTTGCAGATTGTACAATAAGACTCTTTCCAATCTGCTCAATCAAAAGAAAGTTTCAACTCTGTGAGGTGAATGCACACATCACAAGAGAGTTTCTCAGAAACCTCCTGTCTAGTTTTTATGTGAAGATATTTCGTATTTCACCACAGGCCATAAGGGGCTCACAAATATCCCTTTGCAGGTTCTACAAAAAGACTGTTTCCAAACTGCTCAATCAAAAGAAAGGTTCAACTCTGTGACGTGAATGGACACATCGCAGAAAATTTCTTGGAATGATTCTGTCTAGTTTTTATGTGAAGATACTTCCTTTTTCACCAAGGGCCTCAAATATCCCCAAATATCCATTTGCAGATTCTACAGAAAGACTTCCCAAACTGCTCAATCAAAAGAAAGGTTCAACACAGTGAGATGAAGGCACACATCACAAAGAAGTTTCTCAGAAATCTTCTGTCTACTTTTTATGTGAGGCTATTTCTTGTTCACCATAGGCCTCGAGCAGCTAAGAAATTTCCCTCTGCAGCTTCTACAAAAGACTGGTTCCAAACTGCTCAACTGAAAGGAAGGTTGAATTCTGTGACATGAATTCACACATCACAAAGAGGTTTTTCAGAAATCTTCTGTCTACTTTTTATGTGAAGATATTTCATATTTCAACAAAGGCCATAAAGGGCTCACGAATATCCCTTTGCAGATTCTAAGAAAAGACATTTTCCAAACTCCTCAATCAAAAGAAAGGTTTCACTCTGTGCAATGAATGGACACATCACAAAGAAGTTTCTCAGAAAGCTACTGTGTAGTTTTTATGTGAAGATATTTCCTTTTTCACTATAGGCCTTAAAACACTCCAAATATACATTTGCAGATTCTACAAAAAGACTGTTTCCAAACTGCTCAATCAAATGAAAGGTTCAACTCTGTGATACAAACGTGCACAACACAGAGGAGTTTCTCAGAAAGCTTCTGTCTAGTTTTCATGTGAAGATATTTATTTTTCACCATTGGCCCCAAACGGCTCAGAAATATCCCTTTGCAGTTTGTAGGAAAAGACTGTTTCCAAACTGCTCAATGAAAAGAAATGGTCAACTATTAGCGATGAATGGAAATGTCACAAAGAGTTTTCTCAAAAAGCTTCTGTCTACATTTTATGTGAAGGTATTTCCTTTGGCACCGTAGGCCTTAAACCACTCACAAACATAACTCCGCTTATACTACCAAGAGACTTTCTCCAAATTGCTAAATCAAAAGAAACGTTCAACTCTGTGAGATGAATACACACATCAAAAAGAAGTTTCTCAAAATGCTTCTGTCTAGTTTTTATGTGAAGATATTTCCTTCTTCACAGTAGGCCGCAAATTGCTCCAAATATCCATTTGCGGATTCTACAGAAAGAATGTTTCCAAACTGGTCAATCAACAGAAAGGCTCAACTCTGTGAGACGAAAGCACACATCACAAAGGAGTTTCTCAGAAAGCTTCTGTCTGGTTACTCTGTGAAGATATTTCTTTTTTCACCACAGGCTTTAAGCCACTCAAAAATATCTGTCTGCAGACACTACAAAAAGACTGTTTCCAAACTGGCCCATATAGCATGTTACAACTATGTGAATTGAATGCACTCATCAAAGAGAAGTTTCTCCGAATTCTTCTGCCTTTTTTTTATTTCAAGATAATTCCTATTTCACCATAGGAATCAATGGGCTCACAAATATCCCTTTGCAGATTCTACAAAAGTTCTGTTTCCAAACTGCTCAATCAAAAGAAACGTTCAACATTGTAAGATGAATGCACACATCACAAAGAAGTTTCTCAGAATGCTTCTGTCTAGTTTTTATGTGAAGATGTTTCCATTTTCACCTTAGGCCACAAAGCGCTCCAAACATCCGTTTGCAGATGATACGAAAGGACTGTTTCCAAACTGCTCAATCAAAAGAAATTTTCAACTCTGTGAGATGAGAGCACACATCACAAAAAAGTTTCTCAGAAATCTTCTGTCTAGTTTTTATGTGAAGATATTTCCTTTTTCAGCATAGTCCTCACACCGCTCACAAATATCCTTCTGCAGATACTAGAAAAAGACTGTTTCCAAACTGCTCCATCAAAAGAAAATTTCACCTACCTGAGATGAATGCACACATCATAAAGAAGTTTCTCAGAATCCTTCTGTCTAGTTTAAATGTGAAGATATTTCTCTTTCACCACAGACCTCAAATGGCTCAGAAATATGCCTTTGCAGATTGCAGAAAAAGACTGTCTCCAAACTGCTCAAATAAAATAAAGTTTCAACACTGTGAGATGAATGCACACATCACAAAGAAGTTTCTCAGAAAGCTCCTGTCTAGTTTTTATGTGAAGATATTTACTATTTCACTATAGGCTTCAAATGTCTCAAAAATATCCCTTTGCAGATTCTACAAAAATATGGTTTCCAAAGTGCTGAATTAAAAGAAACCTTCAACTCTGTCAGATGAATGGAGACATCACAAAGAAGTTCCTCAGAATTCTTCGGTCTACTTTTCCTGTGAAGATATTTCCAGTTTCACCGTAGGCCTCAAAGGGCTAAGAAATATCCCTTTCCAGATTCTAAAAGACGACCGTTTCCATACTTGTCAATCAAAAGAAAGGTTAAATTCTCTGAGGTTAATGCGCACATCAGAATGAAGTTTCTCAGAATTCTTCTGTTTAGTTTTTATGAGAAGATATTTCCTTTGTCACCATTGGCCTCAAAGCACTCCTAATATCCATTTACAGATTTCACAAAAAGAGTGTTTCCAAACAGCTCAATCAAAAGAAAGTGTTTAACTCTGTGAGGTGAAAGCACACATCTCAATGAAGTTTCTCAGAAAGCTTCTGTCTAGTTTATATGTGAAGAAGATTCCTATTTCACCATAGGCAATAAAGGGCTCACAAATATGTTTTGCAGATTCTACAAAAAGACTGTGTCCAAACTGCTCAATAAAAAGAAAGTTTTAACTCTGTTAGATTAACGGACACATCGAAAAGTAGTTTCTCAGAAAACTTCTGTCTAGTTTTTATGTGAAGATACTTCACAGTGCATCATAGTACTCAATGGGCTCAGAAATATCCCTTGGCAGATTCTACAAAAGGACTGTTTCAAAACTGCTCAATCCAAAGAAAGTTTCAACTATGTGTGATGAATGCACACATCACAAAGAAGTTCCTCAGAATGCTTCTGTTTAGTTTTTACGTGTAGATGTTTCGTTTTTCAACATGGGCCTCAGAAGCTCTCCAAATATCCATTTGCAGATTCTAGAAAAAGAGTGTTTCCAAACTCCTCAATCAAAAGAAAGTTTCAATTCCGTGAGATGAAAACACACATCACACCGAAGTTTCTTAGAAAGCTTCCGTCTAGTTTTTATGGGAATATGTTTCTCTTTCACCATAAGCCTCAAACGCATCAGAATTCTCCCTTTGCAGATTGTACAATAAGCCTCTTTCCAATCTGCTCAATCAAAAGAAAGTTTCAACTCTGTGAGGTGAATGCACACATCACAAGGGAGTTTCTCAGAAAGCTCCTGTCTAGTTTTTATGTGAAGATATTTCGTATTTCACCACAGGCCATAAGGCGCTCACAAAAATCCCTTTGCAGGTTCTACAAAAAGAGTGTTTCCAAACTGCTCAATCAAAAGAAAGGTTCAACTCTGTGACGTGAATGGACACATCACAAACAATTTCTTGGAATGATTCTGTCTAGTTTTTATGTGAAGATACTTGCTTTTTCACCAAGGGCCTCAAATATCTCCAAATATCCATTTGCAGATTCTACACAAAGACTTCCCAAACTGCTCAATCAAAAGAAAGGTTCAACACAGGGAGATGAAGACACACATCACAAAGAAGTTTCTCAGAAATCTTCTGTCTGGTTTTTATGTGAAGTTATTTCTTTTTCACCATAGGCCTGAATCAGCTAAGAAATTTCCCTTTGCACCTTCTACAAAAGACTGTTTCCAAACTGCTCAATCGAAAGAAAGGTTGAATTCTGTGACATGAATTCACACATCACAAAGAAGTTTCTCAGAAATCTTCTGTCTATTTTTTATGTGAAGATATTTCATATTTCAACATAGGCCATAAAGGGCTCACAAATATCCCTTTGTAGATTCTAAGAAAAGACATTTTCCAAACTCCTCAATCAAAAGAAAGGTTTAACTCTGTGAGGTGAATGGACACATCACAAAGAAGTTTCTTAGAAAGCTACTGTGTCGTTTTTATGTGAAGACGTTTCCATTTTCACTCTAGGCCTTAAAACTCTCTAAATATGCATTCACAGATTCTACAAAAAGACTGATTCCAAACTGCTCAATCAGAAGAAAGGTTCAGTTCCGTGTGACAAACGTGCACATCAGAAAGAAATTTGTCAGAAACCTTCTGTCTAGTTTTCATGTGAAGATATTTATTTTTCACCATTGGCCCCAAACGGCTCAGAAATGTCCCTTTGCAGTTTGTAGGAAAAGACTGTTTCCAAACTGCTCAATGAGAAGAAATGGTCAACTATTAGAGATGAATGGAAATGTCACAAAGAGTTTTCTCAAAAACCTTCTGTCTGCATTTTATGTGAAGGTATTTCCTTTGGCACCGTAGGCCTTAAACCACTCACAAACATAACTCCGCTTATACTACCAAGAGACTTTCTCCAAATTGCTAAATCAAAAGAAACGTTCAACTCTGTGAGATGAATACACACATCAAAAAGAAGTTTCTCAAAATGCTTCTGTCTAGTTTTTATGTGAAGATATTTCCTTCTTCACCGTAGGCCGCAAATTGCTCCAAATATCCATTTGCGGATTCTACAGAAAGAATGTTTCCAAACTGGTCAATCAACAGAAAGGCTCAACTCTGTGAGACGAAAGCACACATCACAAAGTAGTTTCTCAGAAAGCTTCTGTCTGGTTACTCTGTGAAGATATTTCTTTTTTCACCACAGTCTTTAAGCCACTCAAAAATATCTGTCTGCAGACACTACAAAAAGACTGTTTCCAAACTGGCCCATATAGCATGTTTCAACTATGTGAAATGAATGCACTCATCAAAGAGAAGTTTCTCCGAATTCTTCTGTCTAGTTTTTATCTCAAGAGAATTCCTATTTTGCCATAGGAATCAAGGGGCTCACAAATATCCCTTTGCAGATTCTACAAAAGTTCTGTTTACAAACCTCTCAATCAAAAGAAACGTTCAACATTGTGAGATGAATGAACACATCACAAAGAAGTTTCTCAGAATGCTTCTGTCTAGATTTTATGTGAAGATATTTCCATTTTCACCTTAGGCCACAAAGCGCTCCACACATCCCTTTGCAGATGATACGAAAAGACTGTTTCCAAACTGCTCAATCAAAAGAAATTTTCAACTCTGTGAGATGAAAGCACCCATCACAAAAAAGTTTCTCAGAAATCTTCTGTCTAGTTTTTATGTGAAGATATTTCCTTTTTCACCACAGGCCTTAAACTGCTCACAAATATCCTTCTGCAGATACTATAAAAAGACTGTTTCCAAACTGCTCCATCAAAAGAAAAGTTCACCTCTCTGAGGTGAATGCACACATCACAAAGAATTTTCTCAGACTTCTTCTGTCTAGTTTAAATGTGAAGATATTTCTCTTTCACCACAGACCTCAAATGGCTCAGAAATATGCCTTTGCAGATTGCAGAAATAGACTGTCTCTAAACTGCTCAAATAAAATAAAGTTTCAACACTGTGAGATGAATGCACACATCACAAAGAAGTTGCTCAGAAAGCTTCTGTCTAGTTTTTATGTGAAGATATTTACTATTTCACTATAGGCTTCAAATGTCTCACAAATATCCCTTTGCAGATTCTACAAAAATATGGTTGCCGAACTTCTGAATTAAAAGAAGCATTCAACTCTGTCAAATGAATGGAGACATCACAAAGAGGTTCCTCAGAATGCTTCGGTCTACTTTTCATGTGAAGATATTTCCAGTTTCACCGTAGGCCTCAAAGGGCTAAGAAATATCCCTTTCCAGATTCTAAAAGACGACCGTTTCCATACTTCTCAATCAAAAGAAAGGTTACATTCTGTGAGGTTAATGCACACATCAGAATGAAGTTTCTCAGAATTCTTCTGTTTAGTTTTTATGTGAAGATATTTCCTTTGTCACAATTGGCCTCAAAGCACTCCTAATATCCATTTACAGATTTCACAAAAAGAGTGTTTCCAAACAGCTCAATCAAAAGAAAGTGTTTAACTCTGTGAGGTGAAAGCACACATCTCAAAGAAGTTTCTCAGTAAGCTTCTGTCTAGTTTATATGTGAAGAAGATTCCTATTTCACCATAGGCAATAAAGGGCTCGCAAATATTTTTTGCAGATTCTACAAAAAGACTGTATCCAAACTGCTCAATAAAAAGAAAGTTTTAACTCTGTTTGATTAATGGACACATCGAAAAGTAGTTTTTCAGAAAACTTCTGTCTAGTTTTTATGTGAAGATACTTCACAGTGCATCATAGTACTCAATGGGCTCAGAAATATCCCTTGGCAGATTCTACAAAAGGAGTGTTTCAAAACTGCTCAATTCAAAGAAAGTTTCAACTATGTGAGATGAATGCACACATCACAAAGAAGTTCCTCAGAATGCTTCTGTTTAGTTTTTATGTGAAGATATTTCGTTTTTCACCATGGGCCTCAAAAGCTCTCCAAATATCCATTTGCAGATTCTAGAAAAAGAGTGTTTCCAAACTCCTCAATCAAAAGAAAGTTTCAATTCTGTGAGATGAAAGCACACATCACAAAGAAGTTTCTTAGAAAGCTTCCGTCTAGTTTTTATGGGAAGATGTTTCTCTTTCACCATAAGCCTCAAACGGATCAGAATTCTCCCTTTGCAGTTTGTACAATAAGCCTCTTTCCAATCTGCTCAATCAAAAGAAAGTTTCAACTCTCTGAGGTGAATGCACACATCACAAGGGAGTTTCTCAGAAAGCTCCTGTCTAGTTTTTATGTGAAGATATTTCGTATTTCACCACAGGCCATAAGGGGCTCACAAATATCCCTTTGCAGGTTCTACAAAAAGACTGTTTCCAAACTGCTCAATCAAAAGAAAGGTTCAACTCTGTGACGTGAATGGACACATCACAGAAAATTTCTTGGAATGATTCTGTCTAGTTTTTGTGGGAAGATACTTCCTTTTTCACCAAGGGCCTCAAATATCTCCAAATATCCATTTGCAGATTCTACAGAAAGACTTCCCAAACTGCTCAATCAAAAGAAAGGTTCAACACAGTGAGATGAAGGCACACATCACAAAGAAGTTTCTCAGAAATCTTCTGTCTAGTTTTTATGTGAGGCTATTTCTTGTTCACCATAGGCCTCAAGCAGCTAAGAAATTTCCTCTGCAGCTTCTACAAAAGACTGGTTCCAAACTGCTCAACTGAAAGGAAGGTTGAATTCTGTGACATGAATTCACACATCACAAAGAGGTTTTTCAGAAATCTTCTGTCTACTTTTTATGTGAAGATATTTCATATTTCAACAAAGGCCATAAAGGGCTCACAAATATCCCTTTGCAGATTCTAAGAAAAGACATTTTCCAAACTCCTCAATCAAAAGAAAGGTTCCACTCTGTGCGATGAATGGACACATCACAAAGAAGTTTCTCAGAAAGCTACTGTGTCGTTTTTATGTGAAGACGTTTCCATTTTCACTCTAGGCCTTAAAACTCTCTAAATATGCATTCACAGATTCTACAAAAAGACTGATTCCAAACTGCTCAATCAGAAGAAAGGTTCAATTCCGTGTGACAAACGTGCACATCACAAAGAAATTTGTCAGAAACCTTATGTCTAGTTTTCATGTGAAGATGGTTATTTTTCACCATTGGCCCCAAACGGCTCAGAAATATCCCTTTGCAGTTTGTAGGAAAAGACTGTTTCCAAACTGCTCAATGAAAAGAAATGGTCAACTATTAGAGATGAATGGAAATGTCACAAAGAGTTTTCTCAAAAAGCTTCTGTCTACATTTTATGTGAAGGTATTTCCTTTGGCACCGTAGGCCTTAAACCACTCACAAACATAACTCCGCTTATACTACCAAGAGACTTTCTCCAAATTGCTAAATCAAAAGAAACGTTCAACTCTGTGAGAAGAATACACACATCAAAAAGAAGTTTCTCAAAATGCTCCTGTCTAGTTTTTCTGTGAAGATATTTCCTTTTTCACCGTAGGCCACAAATTGCTCCAAATATCCATTTGCAGATTCTACAAAAAGAATGTTCCCAAACTGGTCAATCAAAAGAAAGGCGCAACTCTGTGAGACGAAAGCACACATCACAAAGAAGTTTCTCGGAAAGCCTCTGTCTGGTTACTCTGTGAAGATATTTCTTTTTTCACCACAGTCTTTAAGCCACTCAAAAATATCTGTCTGCAGACACTACAAAAAGTCTGTTTTCAAACTGGCCCATATAGCATGTTTCAACTATGTGAAATGAATGCACTCATCAAAGAGAAGTTTCTCCGAATTCTTCTGTCTAGTTTTTATCTCAAGATAATTCCTATTTTGCCATAGGAATCAATGGGCTCACAAATATCCCTTTGCAGATTCTACAAAAGTTCTGTTTCCAAACTGCTCAATCAAAAGAAACGTTCAACATTGTGAGATGAATGCACACATCACAAAGAAGTTTCTCGGAATGCTTCTGTCTAGATTTTATGTGAAGATATTTCCATTTTCACCTTAGGCCACAAAGCGCTCCAAACATCCCTTTGCAGATGATACGAAAAGACTGTTTCCAAACTGCTCAATCAAAAGAAATTTTCAACTCTGTGAGATGAAAGCACTCATCACAAAAAAGTTTCTCAGAAATCTCCTGTCTAGTTTTTATGTGAAGATATTTCCTTTTTCACCATAGGCCTTAAACTGCTCACAAATATCCTTCTGCAGATACTAAAAAAATACTGTTTCCAAACTGCTCCATCAAAAGAAAAGTTCACCTCTCTGAGATGAATGCACACATCACAAAGAAGTTTCTCAGAATTCTTCTGTCTAGTTTAAATGTGAAGATATTTCTTTTTCACATAGACCTCAAATGGCTCAGAAATACACCTTTGCAGAATGCAGGAAAAGACTGTTTCTAAACTGCTCAAACAAAATAAAGTTTCAACACTGTGAGATGAATGCACACATCACAAAGAAGTTTCTCAGAAATCTCCTGTCTAGTTTCTATGTGAAGATATTTACTATTTCACTATAGGCTTCAAAGGTCTCAAAAATATCCCTTTGCAGATTCTACAAAAATACGGTTTCCACAGTGCTGAATTAAAAGAAACCTTCAACTCTGTCAGATGAATGGAGACATCACAAAGAAGTTACTCAGTATTCTTCGGTCTACTTTTCATGTGAAGATATTTCCAGTTTCACCGTAGGCCTCAAAGGGCTAAGAAATATCCCTTTCCAGATTCTAAAAGACGACCGTTTCCATACTTCTCAATCAAAAGAAAGGTTAAATTCTCTGAGTTTAATGCCCACGTCAGAATGAAGTTTCTCAGAATTCTTCTGTTTAGTTTTTATGTGAAGATATTTCCTTTGTCACCATTGGCCTCGAAGCACTCCTAATATCCATTTACAGATTTCACAAAAAGAGTGTTTCCAAACAGCTCAATCAAAAGAAAGTGTTTAACTCTGTGAGGTGAAAGCACACATCTCCAAGAAGTTTCTCAGAAAGCTTCTGTCTAGTTTATATGTGAAGAAAATTCCTACTTCACCATAGGCAATAAAGGGCTCACAAATATTTTTTGCAGATTCTACAAAAAGACCGTATCCAAACTGCTCAATAAAAAGAAAGTTTCAACTCTGTTAGATTAATGGACACATAAAAGAGTAGTTTCTCAGAAAACTTCTGTCTAGTTTTTATGTGAAGATATTTCACATTTCTCCATAGTACTCAATGGACTCAGAAATATCCCTTTGCAGATTCTACAAAAAGACTGTTTCCAAACTGCTCAATCCAAAGAAAGTTTCAACTCTGTGAGATTAATGCACACATCACAAAGAAGTTTCTCAGAATGCTTCTGTTTAGTTTTTACGTGAAGATGTTTCGTTTTTCAACATGGGCCTCAAAAGCTCTCCAATTATCCATTTGCAGATTCTAGAAAAAGAGGGTTTCCAAACTCCTCAATCAAAAGAAAGTTTCAATTCTGTGAGATGAAAGCACACATCACAACGAAGTTTCTTAGAAAGCTTCCGTCTAGATTTTGTGGGAAGATGTTTCTCTTTCACCAGAAGCCTCAAACGGATCAGAATTCTCCCTTTGCAGATTGTACAATAAGCCTCTTTCCAATCTGCTCATTCAAAAGAAAGTTTCAACTCTGTCAGGTGAATGCACACATCACAAGGGAGTTTCTCAGAAAGCTCCTGTCTAGTTTTTATGTGAATATATTTCGTATTTCACCACAGGCCATAAGGGGCTCACAAATATCCCTTTGCAGGTTCTACAAAAAGACTGTTTCCAAACTGCTCAATCAAAAGAAAGGTTCAACTCTGTGACGTGAATGGACACATCACAAAAAATTTCTCGGAATGATTCTGTCTAGTTTTTATGTGAAGATACTTCCTTTTTCACCATGGGCCTCAAATAGCTCCAAATATCCATTTGCAGATTCTACAAAAAGACTTTCCAAACTGCTCAATCAAAAGAAAGGTTCAACACTGTGAGACGAAAGCAAACATCACAAAGAAGTTTCTCAGAAATCTTCTGTCTACTTTTTATGTGAGGCTATTTCTTGTTCACCATAGGCCTCAAGCAGCTAAGAAATTTCCCTCTGCAGGTTCTACAAAAGACTGGTGCCAAACTGCTCAACTGAAAGGAAGGTTGAATTCTGTGACATGAATTCACACATCACAAAGAGGTTTTTCAGAAATCTTCTGTCTAGTTTTTATGTGAAGATATTTCATATTTCAACATAGGCCATAAAGGGCTCACAAATATCCCTTTGCAGATTCTAAGAAAAGACATTTCCCAAACTCCTTGATCAAAAGAAAGGTTTATCTCTGTGAGATGAATGGACACATCACAAGGAAGTTTCTTAGAAAGCTACTGTGTCGTTTTTATGTGAAGACGTTTCCTTTTTCACTCTAGGCCTTAAAACTCTCTAAATATACATTCACAGATTCTACAAAAAGACTGATTCCAAACTGCTCAATCAGAAGAAAGGTTCAACTCCGTGTGACAAACGGTGCACATCACAAAGAAATTTGTCAGAAAGCTTCTGTCTAGTTTTCATGTGAAGATATTTATTTTTCACCATTGGCCCCAAACGACTCAGAAATATCCCTTTGCAGTTTGTAGGAAAAGACTGTTTCCAAACTGCTCAATGAAAAGAAATGGTCAACTATTAGAGATGAATGGAAATGTCACAAAGAGTTTCCTCAAAAAGCTTCTGTCTACTTTTTATGTGAAGGTGTTTCCTTTTGCACCATAGGCCTTAAATCGCTCACAAATATAACTCCACTTGTACTACCAAGAGACTTTCTCCAAATTGCTAAATCCAAAGAAAGGTTCAACTCTGTGAGAAGAATGCACACATCACAAAGAAGTTTCTCAAAATGCTTCTGTCTAGTTTTTATGTGAAGATATTTCCTTTTTCACCATAGGTCTCAAATTGTTCCAAATATCCATTTGCAGATTCTACAAAAAGAATGTTTCCAAACTGGTCAATCAAAAGAAAGGCTCAAATCTGTGAGACAAAAACACACATTACAAAGTTTCTCAGAAAGCTTCTGTCTAGTTTCAATGTGAAGATATTTCTTTTTCACCATAGACCTCAAATGGCTCAGAAATATACCTTTGCAGATTGCAGTAAAAGACTGTTTCTAAACTGCTCAAACAAAATAAAGTTTCAACACTGTGTGATGAATGCACACATCACAAAGAAGTTTCTCAGAAAGCTTCTGTCTAGTTTTTATCTCAAGATTATTCCTATTTTGCCATAGGAATCAAGGGGCTCACAAATATCCCTTTGCGGATTCTACAAAAGTTCTGTTTACAAACCTCTCAATCAAAAGAAACCTTCAACATTGTGAGATGAATGAACACATCACAAAGAAGTTTCTCAGAATGCTTCTGTCTAGATTTTATGTGAAGATATTTCCATTTTCACCTTAGGCCACAGAGCGCTCCACACATCCCTTTGCAGATGATACGAAAAGACTGTTTCCAAACTGCTCAATCAAAAGAAATTTTCAACTCTGTGAGATGAAAGCAACCATCACAAAAAAGTTTCTCAGAAATCTTCTGTCTAGTTTTTATGTGAAGATATTTCCTTTTTCACCATAGTCCTTACACCGCTCACAAATATCCTTCTGCAGATACTAGAAAAAGACTGTTTCCAAACTGCTCCATCAAAAGAAAATTTCGCCTACCTGAGATGAATGCACACATCATAAAGAAGTTTCTCAGAATTCTTCTGTCTAGTTAAAATGTGAAGATATCTCTTTTTCACCATAGACCTCAAATGTCTCAGAAATATACCTTTGCAGATTGCAGAAAAAGACTGTTTCTGAACTGCTCAAACAAAATAAAGTTTCAACACTGTGAGATGAATGCACCACATCACAAAGAAGTTTCTCAGAAAGCTCCTGTCTAGTTTTTATGTGAAGATATTTACTATTTCACTATAGGCTTCAAATGTCTCAAAAATATCCCTTTGCAGATTCTACAAAAATATGGTTTCCAAAGTGCTGAATTAAAAGAAACTTTCAACTCTGTCAGATGAATGGAGACCTCACAAAGAAGTTCCTCAGAATGCTTCGGTCTACTTTTCATGTGAAGATATTTCCAGTTTCACCATATGCCTCAAAGGGCTAAGAAATATCCCTTTCCAGATTCTAAAAGACGACCGTTTCCATATTTCTCAATCAAAAGAAAGTTAAATTCTCTGAGGTTAATGCCCACGTCAGAATGAAAGTTTTCAGAATTCTTCTGTTTAGTTTTTACGTGAAGATATTTCCTTTGTCACAATTGGCCTCAAAGCCCTCCTAATATCCATTTACAGATTTCACAAAAAGAGTGTTTCCAAACAGCTCAATCAAAAGAAAGTGTTTAACTCTGTGAGGTGAAAGCACACATCTCAAAGAAGTTTCTCAGAAAGCTTCTGTCTAGTTTATATGTGAAGAAAATTCCTACTTCACCATAGGCAATAAAGGGCTCACAAATATTTTTTGCAGATTCTACAAAAAGACCGTATCCAAACTGCTCAATAAAAAGAAAGTTTCAACTCTGTTAGATTAATGGACACATCAAAGAGTAGTTTCTCAGGAAACTTCTGTCTAGTTTTTATGTGAAGATACTTCACAGTGCATCATAGTGCTCAATGGGCTCAGAAATATCCCTTGGCAGATTCTACAAAAGGACTGTTTCAAAACTGCTCAATCCAAAGAAAGTTTCAACTATGTGAGATGAATGCACACATCACAAAGAAGTTCCTCAGAATGCTTCTGTTTAGTTTTTACGTGAAGATATTTCGTTTTTCACCACGGGCCTCAAAAGCTCTCCAAATATCCATTTGCATATTCTAGAAAAAGAGTGTTTCCAAACTCCTCAATCAAAGGATAGTTTCAATTCTGTGAGACGAAAGCACACATCACAACGAAGTTTCTTAGAAAGCGTTCCGTCTAGTTTTTATGGGAAGTATGTTTCTCTTTCACCATTAGCCTCAAACGGATCAGAATTCTCCCTTTGCAGATTGTACAATAAGCCTCTTTCCAATCTGCTCAATCAAAAGAAAGTTTCAACTCTGTGAGGTGAATGCACACATCACAAGGGAGTTTCTCAGAAAGCTCCTGTCTAGTTTTTATGTGAAGATATTTCATATTTCACCACAGGCCATAAGGGGCTCACAAATATCTGTTTGCAGGTTCTACACAAAGACTGTTTCTAAACTGCTCAATCAAAGGAAAGGTTCAACTCTGTGACGTGAATGGACACATCACAAAAAATTTCTCGGAATGATTCTGTCTAGTTTTTATGTGAAGATACTTCCTTTATCACCAAGGGCCTCAAATATCTCCAAATATCCATTTGCAGATTCTACAGAAAGACTTCCCAAACTGCTCAATCAAAAGAAAGGTTCAACACAGTGAGATGAAGGCACACATCACAAAGAAGTTTCTCAGAAATCTTCTGTCTAGTTTTTATGTGAAGATATTTCTTTTTCACTATAGGCCTCAAACGGCTAAGAAATTTCCCTTTGCAGCTTCTACAAAAGACTGTTTCCAAACTGCTCAATCGAAAGAAAGGTTGAATTCTGTGACATGAATTCACACATCACAAAGAAGTTTTTCAGAAATCTTCTGTCTAGTTTTTATGTGAAGATATTTCATATTTCAACATAGGCCATAAAGGGCTCACAAATATCCCTTTGCAGATTCTAAGAGAAGACATTTTCCAAACTCCTCAATCAAAAGAAAGGTTTAACTCTGTGAGATGAATGGACACATCACAAAGAAGTTTCTTAGAAAGCTACTGTGTCGTTTTTATGTGAAGACGTTTCCTTTTTCACTCTAGGCCTTAAAACTCTCTAAATATACATTCACAGATTCTACAAAAAGACGGATTCCAAACTGCTCAATCAGAAGAAAGGTTCAATTCCGTGTGACAAACGTGCACATCACAAAGAAATTTGTCAGAAAGCTTCTGTCTAGTTTTCATGTGAAGATATTTATTTTTCACCATTGACCCCAAACGGCTCAGAAATATCCCTTTGCAGTTTGTAGGAAAAGACTGTTTCCAAACTGCTCAATGAAAAGAAATGGTCAACTATTAGAGATGAATGGAAATGTCACAAAGAGTTTTCTCAAAAAGCTTCTGTCTACATTTTATGTGAAGGTATTTCCTTTGGCACCGTAGGCCTTAAACCACTCACAAACATAACTCTGCTTATACTACCAAGAGACTTTCTCCAAATTGCAAAATCAAAAGAAACGTTCAACTCTGTGAGATGAATACACACATCAAAAAGAAGTTTCTCAAAATGCTTCTGTCTAGTTTTTATGTGAAGATATTTCCTTCTTCACCATAGGCCGCAAATTGCTCCAAATATCCATTTGCGGATTCTACAGAAATAATGTTTCCAAACTGGTCAATCAACAGAAAGGCTCAACTCTGTGAGACGAAAGCACACATCACAAAGAAGTTTCTCAGAAAGCTTCTGTCTGGTTATTCTGTTAAGATATTTCTTTTTTCACCACAGTCTTTAAGCCACTCAAAAATATCTGTCTGCAGACACTACAAAAAGACTGTTTCCAAACTGGCCCATATAGCATGTTTCAACTATGTGAAATGAATGCACTCATCAAAGAGAAGTTTCTAAGAATTCTCCTGTCTAGTTTTTATCTCAAGATAATTACTATTTTGCCATAGGAATCAAGGGGCTCACAAATATCCCTTTGCAGATTCTACAAAAGTTCTGTTTACAAACCTCTCAATCAAAAGAAACGTTCAACATTGTGAGATGAATGAACACATCACAAAGAAGTTTCTCAGAATGCTTCTGTCTAGATTTTATGTGAAGATATTTGCATTTTCACCTCAGGCCACAAAGCGCTCCAAACATCCCTTTGCAGATGATACGAAAAGACTGTTTCCAAACTGCTCAATCAAAAGAAATTTTCAACTCTGTGAGATGAAAGCACACATCACAGAAAAGTTTCTCAGAAATCTTCTGTCTAGTTATTATGTGAAGATATTTCCTTTTTCACCATAGTCTTTAAACCGCTCAAAAATATCCCTCTGCAGATACTATAAAAAGACTGTTTCCAAACTGGTCCATCAAAGAATGTTTCAACTCTGTGAGATGAATAGACTCATCACAAAGAAGTTTCTCAGAATTCTTCTGTCTAGTTTAAATGTGAAGATATTTCTCTTTCACCACAGACCTCAAATGGCTCAGAAATATGCCTTTGCAGATTGCAGAAAAAGACTGTCTCTAAACTGCTCAAATAAAATAAAGTTTCAACACTGTGAGATGAATGCACACATCACAAAGAAGTTTCTCAGAGAGCTCCTGTCTAGTTTTTATGTGACAATATTTACTATGTCACTATAAGCTTCAAATGTCTCAAAAATATCCCTTTGCAGATTCTACAAAAATATGGTTTCAAAAGTGTGAATTAAAAGAAACCTTCAACTCTGTCAGATGAATGAAGACATCACAAAGAAGTTCCTCAGAATGCTTTGGTCTAGTTTTCATGTAAAGATATTTCCAGTTTCACCGTAGGCCTCAAAGGGCTAAGAAATATCCCTTTCCAGATTCTAAAAGACAACCATTTCCATACTGCTCAATCAAAAGAAAGCTTAAATTCTGTGAGGTGAATGCACACATCAGAATGAAGTTTCTCAGAATTCTTCTCTTTAGTTTTTATGAGAAGATATTTCCTTTGCCACCATTGGCCTCAAAGCACTCCTAATATCCATTTACAGATTTCACGAAAAGAGTGTTTCCAAACAGCTCAATCAAAAGAAAGTGTTTAACTCTGTGAGGTGAAAGCACACATCTCAATGAAGTTTCTCAGAAAGCTTCTGTCCAGTTTATATGTGAAGAAGATTCCTATTTCACCATAGGCAATAAAGGGCTCGCAAATATTTTTTGCAGATTCTACAGAAAGACTGTATCCAAACTGCTCAATAAAAAGAAAGTTTTAACTCTGTTTGATTAATGGACACATCGAAAAGTAGTTTCTCAGAAAACTTCTGTCTAGTTTTTATGTGAAGATATTTCACATTGCACCATAGTACTCAATGGGCTCAGAAATATCCCTTTGCAGATTCTACAAGAGGACTGTTTCCAAACTGCTCAATCCAAAGACAGTTTCAACTATGTGAGATGAATGCATACATCACAAAGAAGTTTCTCAGACTGCTTCTGTTTCGTTTTTACGTGAAGATGTTTCGTTTTTCAACATGGGCCTCAAAAGCTCTCCAAATATCCATTTGCAGATTCTAGAAAAAGAGTGTTTCCAAACTCCTCAATCAAAAGAAAGTTTCAATTCTGTGAGATGAAAGCACACATCACACCGAAGTTTCTTAGAAAGCTTCCGTCTAGTTTTTATGGGAAGATGTTTCTCTTTCACCAGAAGCCTCAAAAGGATCAGAATTCTCCCTTTGCAGATTGTACAATAAGCCTCTTTCCAATCTGCTCAATCAAAAGAAAGTTTCAACTCTGTGAGGTGAATGCACACATCACAAGGGAGTTTCTCAGAAAGCTCCTGTCTAGTTTTTATGTGAAGATATTTCGTATTTCACCACAGGCCATAAGGGGCTCACAAATATCCCTTTGCAGGTTCCACAAAAAGTCTGTTGCCAAACTGCTCAATCAAAAGAAAGGTTCAACTCTGTGACGTGAATGGACACATCACAAACAATTTCTTGGAATGATTCTGTCAGGTTTTTATGTGCAGATATTTCGTTTTCACCATAAGCCTCAAATGGCTCAGAAATATCCCTTTGCAGCTTGTACAAAAAGACTGTTTCCAAGCTGCTCAATCAAAAGAAAGATTCAACTCTGTGAAATGAAAGCACACATCACAAAGAAGTTTCTCAAAATACTTCTGTCTACTTTTTATGTGAGGCTATTTCTTGTTCACCATAGGCCTCGAGCAGCTAAGAAATTTCCCTCTGCAGCTTCTACAAAAGACTGGTTCCAAACTGCTCAACTGAAAGGAAGGTTGAATTCTGTGACATGAATTCACACATCACAGAGAGGTTTTTCAGAAATCTTCTGTCTACTTTTTATGTGAAGATATTTCATATTTCAACAAAGGCCATAAAGGGCTCACAAATATCCCTTTGCAGATTCTAAGGAAAGACATTTTCCAAACTCCTCAATCATAAGAAAGGTTTCACTCTGTGCGATGAATGGACACATCACAAAGAAGTTTCTCAGAAAGCTACTGTGTCGTTTTTATGTGAAGACATTGCCTTTTGCACCCTAGGCCTTAAAACTCTCTAAATACACATTCACAGATTCTACAAAAAGACTGATTCCAAACTGCTCAATCAGAAGAAGGGTTCAATTCCGTGTGACAAACGTGCACATCACCAAGAAATTTGTCAGAAAGCTTCTGTCTAGTTTTCATGGGAAGATATTTATTTTTCACCATTGGCCCCAAACGGCTCAGAAATATCCCTTTGCAGTTTGTAGGAAAAGACTGTTTCCAAACTGCTCAATGAAAAGAAATGGTCAACTATTAGAGATGAATGGAAATGTCACAAAGAGTTTTCACATAAAGCTTCTGTCTACATTTCATGTGAAAGTATTTCCTTTTGCACCATAGGCCTTAAACCGCTCACAAATATAACTCCACTTATACTACCAAGAGACTTTCTCCAAATTGCTAAATCAAAAGAAAGTTTCAACTCTTTGAGAAGAATGCACACATCACAAAGAAGTTTCTCAAAATGCTTCTGTCTAGTTTTTATGTGAAGATATTTCCTTCTTCACCGTAGGCCGCAAATTGTTCCAAATATCCATTTGCGGATTCTACAGAAAGAATGTTTCCAAACTGGTCAATCAACAGAAAGGCTCAACTCTGTGAGACGAAAGCACACATCACAAAGAAGTTTCTCAGAAAGCTTCTGTCTGGTTACTCTGTGAAGATATTTCTTTTTTCACCACAGTCTTTAAGCCACTCAAAAATATCTGTCTGCAGACACTACAAAAAGACTGTTTCCAAAATGGCCCATATAGCATGTTTCAACAATGTGAAATGAATGCACTCATCAAAGAGAAGTTTCTCAGAATTCTTCTGTCTAGTTTTTATCTAAAGAGAATTCCTATTTTGCCATAGGAATCAAGGGGCTCACAAATATCCCTTTGCAGATTCTACAAAAGTTCTGTTTACAAACCTCTCAATCAAAAGAAACGTTCAACATTGTGAGGTGAATGAACACATCACAAAGAAGTTTCTCAGAATGCTTCTGTCTAGAATTTTATGTGAGGATATTTCCATTTTCACCTTAGGCCACAAAGCGCTCCAAACATCCCTTTGCAGATGATACGAAAAGACTGTTTCCAAACTGCTCAATCAAAAGAAATTTTCAACTCTGTGAGATGAAAGCACCCATCACAAAAAAGTTTCTCAGATATCTTCTGTCTAGTTTTTATGTGAAGATATTTCCTTTTTCACCATAGTCCTTACACCGCTCACAAATATCCTTCTGCAGATACTAGAAAAAGACTGTTTCCAAACTGCTCCCTCAAAAGAAAATTTCACCTACCTGAGCTGAATGCACACATCTTAAAAAAGTTTCTCAGAATTCTTCTGTCTAGTTTAAATGTGAAGATAATCCTTTTTCACCACAGACCTCAAATGGCTCAGAAATATACCTTTGCAGATTGTAGAAAGAGACTGTCTCTAAACTGCTCAAATAAAATAAAGTTTCAACACTGTGAGATGAATGCACACATCACAAAGAAGTTTCTCAGAAAGCTCCTGTCTAGTTTCTATGTGAAGATATTTACTATTTCACTATAGGCTTCAAAGGTCTCAAAAATATCCCTTTGCAGATTCTACAAAAATATGCTTTCCAAAGTGCTGAATTAAAAGAAACCTTCAAATCTGTCAGATGAATAGAGACATCACAAAGAAGTTCCTCGGAATGCTTCGGTCTACTTTTCATGTGAAGATATTTCCAGTTTCACCGTAGGCCTCAAAGGGCTAAGAAATATCCCATTCCAGATTTTAAAAGACGACCGTTTCCATACTTCTCAATCAAAAGAAAGGTTAAATTCTCTGAGGTTAATGCCCACGTCAGAATGAAGTTTCTCAGAATTCTTCTGTTTAGTTTTTATGTGAAGATATTTCCTTTGTCACCATTGGCCTCAAAGCACTCCTAATATCCATTTACAGATTTCACAAAAAGAGTGTTTCCAAACAGCTCAATCAAAAGAAAGTGTTTAACTCAGTGAGGTGAAAACACACATCTCAAAGGAGTTTCTCAGAAAGCTTCTGTCCAGTTTATATGTGAAGAAGATTCCTATTTCACCATAGGCAATAAAGGGCTCGCAAATATTTTTTGCAGATTCTAAAGAAAGACTGTATCCAAACTGCTCAATAAAAAGAAAGTTTTAACTCTGTTTGATTAATGGACACATCGAAAAGTAGTTTCTCAGAAAACTTCTGTCTAGTTTTTATGTGAAGATACTTCACAGTGCATCATAGTACTCAATGGGCTCAGAAATATCCCTTGGCAGATTCTACAAAAAGACTGTTTCAAAACTGCTCAATCCAAAGAAAGTTTCAACTATGTGAGATGAATGCACACATCACAAAGAAGTTCCTCAGAATGCTTCTGTTTAGTTTTTACGTGAAGATGTTTCGTTTTTCAACATGGGCCTCAGGAGCTCTCCAAATATCCATTTGCAGATTCTAGAAAAAGAGTGTTTCCAAACTCCTCAATCAAAAGAAAGTTTCAATTCCGTGAGATGAAAACACACATCACACCGAAGTTTCTTAGAAAGCTTCCGTCTAGTTTTTATGGGAAGATGTTTCTCTTTCACCATTAGCCTCAAACGGATCAGAATTCTCCCTTTGCAGATTGTACGATAAGTCTCTTTCCAATCTGCTCAATCAAAAGAAAGTTTCCACTCGGTGAGGTGAATACACACATCGCAAGGGAGTTTCTCAGAAAGCTCCTGTCTAGTTTTTATGTGAAGATATTTCGTATTTCACCACAGGCCATAAGGGGCTCACAAATATCCCTTTGCAGGTTCTACAAAAAGACTGTTTCCAAACTGCTCAATCAAAAGAAAGGTTCAACTCTGTGACGTGAATGGACACATCGCAGGAAATTTCTTGGAATGATTCTGTCTAGTTTTTATGTGAAGATACTTCCTTTTTCACCAAGGGCCTCAAATATCTCCAAATATCCATTTGCAGATTCTACAGAAAGACTTCCCAAACTGCTCAATCAAAAGAAAGTTTCAACACAGTGAGTTGAAGGCACACATCACAAAGAAGTTTCTCAGAAATCTTCTGTCTAGTTTTTATGTGAGGCTATTTCTTGTTCACCATAGGCCTCAAGCAGCTAAGAAATTTCCCTCTGCAGCTTCTACAAAAGACTGGTTCCAAACTGCTCAACTGAAAGGAAGGTTGAATTCTGTGACATGAATTCACACATCACAAAGAGGTTTTTCAGAAATCTTTCTCTCTACTTTTTACGTGAAGATATTTCATATTTCAACAAAGGCCATAAAGGGCTCACAAATATCCCTTTGCAGATTCTAAGAAAAGACATTTTTCAAACTCCTAAATCAAAAGACAGGTTTCACTCTGTGCGATGAAGGGACACATCACAAAGAAGTTTCTCAGAAAGCTACTGTGTAGTTTTTATGTGAAGATATTTCCTTTTTCACTATAGGCCTTAAAACACTCCAAATATACATTTGCAGATTCTACAAAAAGACTGTTTCCAAACTGCTCAATCAAATGAAAGGTTCAACTCTGTGATACAAACGTGCACACCACAAAGGAGTTTCTCAGAAAGCTTCTGCCTAGTTTTCATGTGAAGATATTTATTTTTCACCATTGGCCCCAAACGGCTCAGAAATATCCCTTTGCAGTTTGTAGGAAAAGACTGTTTCCAAACTGCTCAATGAGAAGAAATGGTCAACTATTAGAGATGAATGGAAATGTCACAAGGAGTTCTCTCAAAATGCTTCTGTCTACATTTTATGTGAAGGTATTTCCTTTGGCACCGTAGGCCTTAAACCACTCACAAACATAACTCCGCTTATACTACCAAGAGACTTTCTCCAAATCGCTAAATCAAAAGAAACGTTCAACTCTGTGAGATGAATACACACATCAAAAAGAAGTTTCTCAAAATGCTTCTGTCTAGTTTTTATGTGAAGATATTTCCTTCTTCACCGTAGGCCGCAAATTGCTCCAAATATCCATTTGCGGATTCTACAGAAAGAATGTTTCCAAACTGGTCAATCAACAGAAAGGCTCAACTCTCTGAGACGAAAGCACACATCATAAAGAAGTTTCTCAGAAAGCTTCTGTCTGGTTACTCTGTGAAGATATTTCTTTTTTCACCACAGTCTTTAAGCCACTCAAAAATATCTGTCTGCAGACCCTACAAAAAGACTGTTTCCAAACTGGCCCATATAGCATGTTTCAACTATGTGAAATGAATGCACTCATCAAAGAGAAGTTTCTCAGAATTCTCCTGTCTAGTTTTTATGACAAGATAATTCCTATTTTGCCATAGGAATCAAGGGGCTCACAAATATCCCTTTGCAGATTCTACAAAAGTTGTGTTTACAAACCTCTCAATCAAAAGAAACGTTCAACATTGTGAGATGAATGAACACATCACAAAGAAGTTTCTCAGAATGCTTCTGTCTAGATTTTATGTGAAGATATTTCCATTTTCACGTTAGGCCACAAAGCGCTCCACACATCCCTTTGCAGATGATACGAAAAGACTGTTTCCAAACTGCTCAATCAAAAGAAATTTTCAACTCTGTGAGATGAAAGCACCCATCACAAAAAAGTTTCTCAGAAATCTTCTGTCTAGTTTTTATGTGAAGATATTTCCTTTTTCAGCGTAGTCCTTACACCGCTCACAAATATCCTTCTGCAGATACTAGAAAAAGACTGTTTCCAAACTGCTCCATCAAAAGAAAATTTCACCTACCTGAGATGAATGCACACATCATAAAGAAGTTTCTCAGAATTCTTCTGTCTAGTTTAAATGTGAAGATATTCCTTTTTCACCACAGACCTCAAATGGCTCAGAAATATACCTTTGCAGATTGCAGAAAAAGTCTGTCTCTAAACTGCTCAAATAAAATAAAGTTTCAACACTGTGAGATGAATGCACACATCACAAAGAAGTTTGCTCAGAAAGCT
>NC_000021.9:10975319-11029452 GCF_000001405.40 Homo sapiens | reverse complement strand
TCTGTGTAGTTTTTCTGTGAAGATACTTCCTTTGTCACCATTGGCCTCAAAGCACTCCTAATATCCATTTACAGATGTCACAGAAAGAGTGTTTCCAAACTGCTCCATCAAAAGAAAGTGTTTAACTCTGTGAGGTGAAAGCACACATCTCAAAGAAGTTTCTCCGAAAGCTTCGGTCTAGTTTTCATGTGATGATATTTCCAGTCTCACCATAGGCCTCAAAGGGCTAAGAAATATCCCTTTCCAGATTCTAAAAGACCACCATTTCCATACTTCTCAATCAAAAGAAAGGTTACATTCTGTGAGGTTAATGCACACATCAGAATGAAGTTTCTCAGAATTCTCCTGTCTAGTTTTCACGTGAAGATATTTACTATTTCACTATAGGCTTCAAATGTCTCAAAAATATCCCTTTGCAGATTCTACAAAAATATGCTTTCCAAAGTGCTGAATTAAAAGAAACCTTCAACTCTGTCAGATGAATGGAGACATCACGAAGAAGTTCCTCAGAATGCTTCTGTCTAGTTTAAATGTGAAGATATTTCTTTTTCACCATAGACCTCAAAGGGCTCAGAATTAGACCTTTGCAGATTGCAGAGAAAGACTGTCTCTAAACTGCTCAAATAAAATAAAGTTTCAACACGGTGAGATGAATGTACACATCACAAAGAAGTTCCTCAGAAAGCTTCTGTCTGGTTTTTATGTGAAGATATTTCCTTTTTCACCATAGGTCTTACACCGCTCACGAATATCCTTCTGCAGATACTATAAAAAGACGGTTTCCAAACTGCTCCATCAAAAGAAAATTTCACCTATCTGAGATGAATGCACACATCATACAGAAGTTCCTCAGAATTCTTCTGTCTAGTTTTTATGTGAAGGTGTTTCCATTTTCACATTAGGCCACAAAGCGCCCCAAACATCCATTTGCAGATGATACGAAAAGACTGTTTCCACACTGCTCAATCAAAAGAAATTTTCAACTCTGTGAGATGAAAGCACACATCACAAAAAAGTTTCTCAGAAATCTTCTGTCTCGCTTTTATCTCAAGATAATTCCTATTTTGCCATAGGAATCAAGGGGCTCACATATACCCCTTTGCAGATTCTACAAATGTTCTCCTTACAAACTTCTCAATCAAAAGAAACGTTCAACATTGTGAGATGAATGAACACATCCCAAAGACGTTTCTCAGGTTGCTTCTGTCTGGTTGCTATGTGAAGATGTTTCCTTTTTCACCATGGTCTTTAAGCCACTCAAACATACCTGTCTGCAGACTCTACAAAAAGACTGTTTCCAAACTGGCCCATATAGCATGTTTCAACTATGTGAAATGAATGCACTCATCAAAAAGAAGTTTCTCAGGATTCTCCTGTCTAGTTTTTATGTGAAGATATTTCCTTTTTCACCGTAGGCCACAAATTGCTCCAAATATCCATTTGCAGATTCTACAAAAAGAATGTTCCCAAACTGGTCAATCAAAAGAAAGGCGCAACTCTGTGAGACGAAAGCACACATCACAAAGAAGTTTCTCGGAAAGCCTCTGTCTGCATTTTATGTGAAGGTATTTCCTTTGGCACCATAGACCTTAAACCGCTCGCAAATATAACTCCACTTATACTACCAAGAGACTTTCTCCAAATTGCTAAATCAAAAGAAAGGTTCAACTCTTTGAGATGAATACACACATCAAAAAGAAGTTTCTCAAAATGCTTCTGTCTAGTTTTCATGGGAAGACATTTATTTTTCACCGATGGCCCAAAACCGCTCAGAAATATCCCTTTGCAGTTTGTAGAAAAAGACTGCTTCCAAACTGCTCAATGAAAGGAAATGGTCAACTATTAGAGATGAATGGAAATGTCGCAAAGAGTTTTCTCAAAAAGCTACTGTGTCGTTTTTATGTGAAGACATTGCCTCTTGCACCCTAGGCCTTAAAACTCTCTAAATACACATTCACAGATTCTACAAAAAGACTGATTCCAAACTGCTCAATCAGAAGAAGGGTTCAATTCCGTGTGACAAACGTGCACATCACCAAGAAATTTGTCAGAAAGCCTCTGTCTACTTTTTATGTGAAGATATTTCATATTTCAACAAAGGCCATAAAGGGCTCACAAATATCCCTTCGCAGATTCTAAGAAAAGACGTTTTCCAAACTCCTCAATCAAAAGAAAGGTTTAACTCTGTGTGATGAATGGACACATCATGAAGAAGTTTCTCAGAAAGCTTCTGTCTAGTTTTTCTGTGAAGATATTTCTTTTTCACCATAGGCCTCAAGCAGCTAAGAAATTTCCCTCTGCAGCTTCTACCAAAGACTGTTTCCAAACTGCTCAAGTGAAAGAAAGGTTGAATTCTGTGACATGAATTCACACATCACAAAGAGGTTTTTCAGAAATCTCCTGTCTGGTTTTTAGGTGAAGATACTTCCTTTTTCAAAACGGGCCTCAAATATCTCCAAATATCCATTTGCAGATTCTACAGAAAGACTTTCCAAACTGCTCAATCAAAAGAAAGGTTCAACACTGTGAGATGAAGGCACACATCACCAAGAAGTTTCTCAGAAACCTTCTGTCTAGTTTTTAGGTGAAGATACTTCGTATTTCACCACAGGCCATAAAGGGCTCACAAATATCCCTTTGCAGGTTCTACAAAAAGACTGTTTCCAAACTGCCCAATCAAAGGAGAGGTTCAACTCTGTGACGTGAATGGACACATCACAAAAAATTTCTTGGAATGCTTCCGTCTAGTTTTTATGGGAAGATATTTCTCTTTCACCATAAGCCTCAAACGGATCAGAATTCTCCCTTTGCAGATTGTACGATAAGCCTCTTTCCAATCTGCTCAATCAAAAGAAAGTTTCCACTCGGTGAGGTGAATGCACACAACGCAAGGGAGTTTCTCAGAAAGCTTCTGTTTAGTTTTTACGTGAAGATATTTCGTTTTTCACCACGGGCCTCAAAAGCTCTCCAAATATCCATTTGCATATTCTAGAAAAAGAGTGTTTCCAAACTCCTCAATCAAAGGATAGTTTCAATTCTGTGAGACGAAAGCACACATCACAACGAAGTTTCTTAGAAAGCGTCTGTGTAGTTTTTATGTGAAGATACTTCACATTGCATCACAGTACTCAATGGTCTCAGAAATATCCCCTTGCAGATCCTACAAAAGGACTGTTTCAAAACTGCTCAATCCAAAGAAAGTTTCAACTATGTGAGATGAATGCGCACGTCACGAAGATGTTCCTCAGAATGCTTCTGTCTTGTTTACATGTGAAGAAGATTCCTATTTCACCATAGGCAATAAAGGGCTCACAAATATTTTTTGCAGATTCTCCAAAAAGACTGTATCCAAACTGCTCAATAAAAAGAAAGTTTTAACTCTGTTACATTAATGGACACATCAACAAGTAGTTTCTCAGAAAACTTCTGTGTAGTTTTTATGTGAAGATATTTCCTTTGTCACCATTGGCCTCAAAGCACTCCTAATATCCATTTACAGATGTCACAGAAAGAGTGTTTCCAAACTGCTCAATCAAAAGAAAGTGTTTAACTCTGTGAGGTGAAAGCACACATCTCAAAGAAGTTTCTCCGAAAGCTTCGGTCTAGTTTTCATGTGATGATATTTCCAGTCTCACCATAGGCCTCAAAGGGCTAAGAAATATCCCTTTCCAGGTTCTAAAAGACCACCATTTCCATACTTCTCAATCAAAAGAAAGGTTAAATTCTGTGAGGTTAATGCACACATCAGAATGAAGTTTCTCAGAATTCTCCTGTCTAGTTTTCACGTGAAGATATTTACTATTTCACTATAGGCTTCAAATGTCTCAAAAATATCCCTTTGCAGATTCTACAAAAATATGCTTTCCAAAGTGCTGAATTAAAAGAAACCTTCAACTCTGTCAGATGAATGGAGACATCACGAAGAAGTTCCTCAGAATGCATCTGTCTAGTTTAAATGTGAAGACATTTCTTTTTCACCATAGACCTCAAAGGGCTCAGAGTTAGACCTTTGCAGATTGCAGAGAAAGACTGTCTCTAAACTGCTCAAATAAAATAAAGTTTCAACACGGCGAGATGAACGCACACATCACAAAGAAGTTCCTCAGAAGGCTTCTGTCTGGTTTTAATGTGAAGATATTTCCTTTTTCACCATAGGCCTTACACCGCTCACGAATATCCTTCTGCAGATACTATAAAAAGACTGTTTCCAAACTGCTCCATCAAAAGAAAATTTCACCTATCTGAGATGAATGCACACATCATACAGAAGTTCCTCAGAATTGCTTCTGTCTAGTTTTTATGTGAAGATGTTTCCATTTTCACCTTAGGCCACAAAGCGCCCCAAACATCCGTTTGCAGATGATACGAAAAGACTGTTTCCAAACTGCTCAATCAAGATTAATTTTCAACTCTGTGAGATGAAAGCACACATCACAAAAAAGTTTCTCAGAAATCTTCTGTCTCGCTTTTATCTCAAGATAATTCCTATTTTGCCATAGGAATCAAGGGGCTCACATATACCCCTTTGCAGATTCTACAAATGTTCTCCTTACAAACTTCTCAATCAAAAGAAACGTTCAACATTGTGAGATGAATGAACACATTCCAAAGACGTTTCTCAGGTTGCTTCTGTCTGGTTGCTATGTGAAGATGTTTCCTTTTTCACCATAGTCTTTAAGCCCCTCAAAAATATCTGTCTGCAGACTCTACCAAAAGACTGTTTCCAAACTGGCCCATATAGCATGTTTCAACTATGTGAAATGAATGCACTCATCAAAAAGAAGTTTCTCAGGATTCTCCTGTCTAGTTTTTATGTGAAGATATTTCCTTTTTCACCGTAGGCCACAAATTGCTCCAAATATCCATTTGCAGATTCTACAAAAAGAATGTTCCCAAACTGGTCAATCAAAGGAAAGGCGCAACTCTGTGAGACGAAAGCACACATCACAAAGAAGTTTCTCGGAAAGCCTCTGTCTGCATTTTATGTGAAGGTATTTCCTTTGGCACCATAGGCCTTAAACCGCTCGCAAATATAACTCCACTTATACTACCAAGAGACTTTCTCCAAATTGCTAAATCAAAAGAAAGGTTCAACTCTGTGAGATGAATACACACATCAAAAAGAAGTTTCTCAAAATGCTTCTGTCTAGTTTTCATGGGAAGATATTTATTTTTCACCGTTGGCCCCAAACCGCTCAGAAATATCCCTTTGCAGTTTGTAGAAAAAGACTGCTTCCAAACTGCTCAATGAAAGGAAATGGTCAACTATTAGAGATGAATGGAAATGTCACAAAGAGTTTTCTCAAAAAGCTACTGTGTCGTTTTTATGTGAAGACATTGCCTTTGGCACCCTAGGCCTTAAAACTCTCTATATACACATTCACAGATTCTACAAAAAGATTGATTCCAAACTGCTCAATCAGAAGAAGGGTTCAATTCCGTGTGACAAACGTGCACATCACCAAGGAATTTGTCAGAAAGCTTTCTGTCTACTTTTTATGTGAAGATATTTCATATTCCAACAAAGGCCATAAAGGGCTCACAAATATCCCTTCGCAGATTCTAAGAAAAGACGTTTTCCAAACTCCTCAATCAAAAGAAAGGTTTAACTCTGTGAGATGAATGGACACATCACGAAGAAGTTTCTCAGAAAGCTTCTGTCTAGTTTTTCTGTGAAGATATTTCTTTTTCACCATAGGCCTCAAGCAGCTAAGAAATTTCCCTCTGCAGCTTCTACCAAAGGCTGTTTCCAAACTGCTCAACTGAAAGAAAGGTTGAATTCTGTGACATGAATTCACACATCACAAAGAGGTTTTTCAGAAATCTTCTGTCTGGTTTTTAGGTGACGATACTTCCTTTTTCAGCACGGGACTCAAATATCTCCAAATATCCATTTGCAGATTCTACAGAGAGACTTTCCAAACTGCTCAATCAAAAGAAAGGTTCAACACTGTGAGATGAAGGCACACATCACCAAGAAGTTTCTCAGAAACCTTCTGTCTAGTTTTTAGGTGAAGATACTTCGTATTTCACCACAGGCCATAAAGGGCTCACAAATATCCCTCTGCAGGTTCTACAAAAAGACTGTTTCCAAACTGCCCAATCAAAGGAGAGGTTCAACTCTGTGACGTGAATGGACACATCACAAAAAATTTCTTGGAATGCTTCCGTCTAGTTCTTATGGGAAGATATTTCTCTTTCACCATAGGCCTCAAACGGATCAGAATTCTCCCTTTGCAGATTGTACGATAAGCCTCTTTCCAATCTGCTCAATCAAAAGAAAGTTTCCACTCGGTGAGGTGAATGCACACATCGCAAGGGAGTTTCTCAGAAAGCTTCTGTTTAGTTTTTACGTGAAGATATTTCGTTTTTCACCACGGGCCTCAAAAGCTCTCCAAATATCCATTTGCAGACACTAGAAAAAGAGTGTTTCCAAACTCCTCAATCAAAGGATAGTTTCAATTCTGTGAGACGAAAGCACACATCACAACGAAGTTTCTTAGAAAGCGTCTGTCTAGTTTTTATGTGAAGATACTTCACATTGCATCACAGTACTCAATGGGCTCAGAAATATCCCCTTGCAGATCCTACAAAAGGACTGTTTCAAAACTGCTCAATCCAAAGAAAGTTTCAACTATGTGAGATGAATGCGCACGTCACGAAGACGTTCCTCAGAATGCTTCTGTCTTGTTTACATGTGAAGAAGATTCCTCTTTCACCATAGGCAATAAAGGGCTCACAAATATTTTTGCAGATTCTACAAAAAGACTGTATCCAAACTGCTCAATAAAAAGAAAGTTTTAACTCTGTTACATCAATGGACACATCAACAAGTAGTTTCTCAGAAAACTTCTGTGTAGTTTTTATGTGAAGATACTTCCTTTGTCACCATTGGCCTCAAAGCACTCCTAATATCCATTTACAGATGTCACAGAAAGAGTGTTTCCAAACTGCTCAATCAAAAGAAAGTGTTTTACTCTGTGAGGTGAAAGCACACATCTCAAAGAAGTTTCTCCGAAAGCTTCGGTCTAGTTTTCATGCGATGATATTTCCAGTCTCACCATAGGCCTCAAAGGGCTAAGAAATATCCCTTTCCAGATTCTAAAAGACCACCATTTCCATACTTCTCAATCAAAAGAAAGGTTAAATTCGGTGAGGTTAATGCACACATCAGAATGAAGTTTCTCAGAATTCTCCTGTCTAGTTTTCATGTGAAGATATTTACTATTTCACTATAGGCTTCAAATGTCTCAAAAATATCCCTTTGCAGATTCTACAAAAATATGCTTTCCAAAGTGCTGAATTAAAAGAAACCTTGAACTCTGTCAGATGAATGGAGACATCACGAAGAAGTTCCTCAGAATGCTTCTGTCTAGTTTAAATGTGAAGACAATTCTTTTTCACCATAGACCTCAAAGGGCTCAGAGTTAGACCTTTGCAGATTGCAGAGAAAGACTGTCTCTAAACTGCTCAAATAAAATAGAGTTTCAACACGGTGAGATGAACGCACACATCACAAAGAAGTTCCTCAGAAGGCTTCTGTCTGGTTTTTATGTGAAGATATTTCCTTTTCCACCATAGGCCTTACACCGCTCACAAATATCCTTTTGCAGATACTGGAAAAAGACTGTTTCCAAACTGCTCCATCAAAAGAAAATTTCACCCATCTGAGATGAATGCACACATCATAAAGAAGTTCCTCAGAATTCTTCTGTCTAGTTTTTATGTGAAGATGTTTCCATTTTCACCTTAGGCCACAAAGCGCTCCAAACATCCGTTTGCAGATGATACGAAAAGACTGTTTCCAAACTGCTCAATCAAAAGAAATTTTCAACTCTGTGAGATGAGAGCACACATCACAAAAAAGTTTCTCAGAAATCTTCTGTCTCGCTTTTATCTCAAGATAATTCCTATTTTGCCATAGGAATCAAGGGGCTCACATATATCCCTTTGCGGATTCTACAAAAGTTCTCTTTACAAACTTCTCAATCAAAAGAAACGTTCAACATTGGGAGATGAATGAACACATCCCAAAGAAGTTTCTCAGGTTGCTTCTGTCTGGTTGCTATGTGAAGATGTTTCCTTTTTCACCATAGTCTTTAAGCCACTCAAAAATATCTGTCTGCAGACTCTACAAAAAGACTCTTTCCAAACTGGCCCATATGGCATGTTTCAACTATGTGAAACGAATGCACTCATCAAAAAGTAGTTTTTCAGGAGTCTCCTGTCTAGTTTTCATGTGAAGATATTTCCTTTTTCACCGTAGGCCACAAATTGCTCCAAATATCCATTTGCAGATTCTACAAAAAGAATGTTCCCAAACTGGTCAATCAACAGAAAGGCGCAACTCTGTGAGACGAAAGCACACATCACAAAGAAGTTTCTCGGAAATCCTCTGTCTACATTTTATGTGAAGGTATTTCCTTTGGCACCATAGGCCTTAAACCGCTCGCAAATATAACTCCACTTATACTACCAAGAGACTTTCTCCAAATTGCTAAATCAAAAGAAAGGTTCAACTCTGTGAGATGAATACACACATCAAAAAGAAGTTTCTCAAAATGCTTCCGTCTAGTTTTCATGGGAAGATATTTATTTTTCACCATTGGCCCCAAACCGCTCAGAAATATCCCTTTGCAGTTTGTAGAAAAAGACTGCTTCCAAACTGCTCAATGTAAGGAAATGGCCAACTATTAGAGATGAATGGAAATGTCACAAAGAGTTTTCTCAAAAAGCCACTGTGTCGTTTTTATGTGAAGACATTGCCTCTTGCACCCTAGGCCTTAAAACTCTCTAAATACACATTCACAGATTCTACAAAAAGACTGATTCCAAACTGCTCAATCAGAAGAAGGGTTCAATTTCCGTGTGACAAACGTGCACATCACCAAGAAATTTGTCAGAAAGCCTCTGTCTACTTTTTATGTGAAGATATTTCATATTTCAACAAAGGCCATAAAGGGCTCACAAATATCCCTTCGCAGATTCTAAGAAAAGACGTTTTCCAAACTCCTCAATCAAAAGAAAGGTTTAACTCTGTGAGATGAATGGACACATCACGAAGAAGTTTCTCAGAAAGCTTCTGTCTAGTTTTTCTGTGAAGATATTTCTTTTTCACCATAGGCCTCAAGCAGCTAAGAAATTTCCCTCTGCAGCTTCTACCAAAGACTGTTTCCAAACTGCTCAACTGAAAGAAAGGTTGAATTCTGTGACATGAATTCACACATCACAAAGAGGTTTTTAAGAAATCTTCTGTCTGGTTTTTAGGTGACGATACCTCCTTTTTCACCACGGGCCTCAAATATCTCCAAATATCCATTTGCAGATTCTACAGAAAGACTTTCCAAACTGCTCAATCAAAAGAAGGTTCAACACTGTGAGATGAAGGCACACATCACCAAGAAGTTTCTCAGAAACCTTCTGTCTAGTTTTTAGGTGAAGATACTTCGTATTTCACCACAGGCCATAAAGGGCTCACAAATATCCCTTTGCAGGTTCTACAAAAAGACTGTTTCCAAACGGCTCAATCAAAGGAGAGGTTCAACTCTGTGACGTGAATGGACACATCACAAACAATTTCTTGGAATGCTTCCGTCTAGTTTTTATGGGAAGATATTTCTCTTTCACCATAAGCCTCAAACGGATCAGAATTCTCCCTTTGCAGATTGTACGATAAGCCTCTTTCCAATCTGCTCAATCAAAAGAAAGTTTCCACTCGGTGAGGTGAATGCACACATCGCAAGGGAGTTTCTCAGAAAGCTTCTGTTTAGTTTTTACGTGAAGATATTTCGTTTTTCACCACGGGCCTCAAAAGCTCTCCAAATATCCATTTGCAGATTCTAGAAAAAGAGTGTTTCCAAACTCCTCAATCAAAGGATAGTTTCAATTCTGTGAGATGAAAGCACACATCACAACGAAGTTTCTTAGAAAGCTTCTGTGTAGTTTTTATGTGAAGATACTTCACATTGCATCACAGTACTCAATGGGCTCAGAAATATCCCCTTGCAGATCCTACAAAAGGACTGTTTCAAAACTGCTCAATCCAAAGAAAGTTTCAACTATGTGAGATGAATGCGCACGTCACGAAGACGTTCCTCAGAATGCTTCTGTCTACTTTATATGTGAAGAAGATTCCTATTCCACCATAGGCAATAAAGGGCTCACAAATATGTTTTGCAGATTCTACAAAAAGACTGTACCCAAACTGCTCAATAAAAAGAAAGTTTTAACTCTGTTAGGTTAATGGACACATCAAAAAGTAGTTTCTCAGAAAACTTCTGTGTAGTTTTTATGTGAAGATACTTCCTTTGTCACCATTGGCCTCAAAGCACTCCTAATATCCATTTACAGATGTCACAGAAAGAGTGTTTCCAAACTGCTCCATCAAAAGAAAGTGTTTAACTCTGTGAGGTGAAAGCACACATCTCAAAGAAGTTTCTCCGAAAGCTTCGGTCTAGTTTTCATGTGATGATATTTCCAGTCTCACCATAGGCCTCAAAGGGCTAAGAAATATCCCTTTCCAGATTCTAAAAGACCACCATTTCCATACTTCTCAATCAAAAGAAAGGTTAAATTCTGTGAGGTTAATGCACACATCAGAATGAAGTTTCTCAGAATTCTCCTGTCTAGTTTTCATGTGAAGATATTTACTATTTCACTATAGGCTTCAAATGTCTCAAAAATATCCTTTTGCAGATTCTACAAAAATATGCTTTCCAAAGTGCTGAATTAAAAGAAACCTTCAACTCTGTCAGATGAATGGAGACATCACAAAGAAGTTCCTCAGAATGCTTCTGTCTAGTTTAAATGGGAAGATATTTCTTTTTCACCATAGACCTCAAAGGGCTCAGAATTAGACCTTTGCAGATTGCAGAGAAAGACTGTCTCTAAACTGCTCAAATAAAATAAAGTTTCAACACGGTGAGATGAATGCACACCTCACAAAGAAGTTCCTCAGAAAGCTTCTGTCTGGTTTTTATGTGAAGATATTTCCTTTTTCACCATAGGCCTTACACCGCTCACAAATATCCTTCTGCAGATACTAGAAAAAGACTGTTTCCAAACTGCTCCATCAAAAGAAAATTTCACCTATCTGAGATGAATGCACACATCATAAAGAAGTTCCTCAGAATTCTTCTGTCTAGTTTTTATGTGAAGATGTTTCCATTTTCACCTTAGGCCACAAAGCGCTCCAAACATCCGTTTGCAGATGATACGAAAAGACTGTTTCCAAACTGCTCAGTGAAAAGAAATTTTCAACTCTGTGAGATGAAAGCACACATCACGAAAAAGTTTCTCAGAAATCTTCTATCTCGCTTTTATCTCAAGATGATTCCTATTTTGCCATAGGAAATCAAGGGGCTCACATATATCCCTTTGCAGATTCTACAAATGTTCTCCTTACAAACTTCTCAATCAAGAGCAACGTTCAACATTGTGAGATGAATGAACACATCCCAAAGACGTTTCTCAGGTTGCTTCTGTCTGGTTGCTATGTGAAGATGTTTCCTTTTTCACCATAGTCTTTAAGCCACTCAAAAATATCTGTCTGCAGACTCTACCAAAAGACCGTTTCCAAACTGGCCCATATAGCATGTTTCAACTATGTGAAATGAATGCACTCATCAAAAAGAAGTTTCTCAGGATTCTCCTGTCTAGTTTTTATGTGAAGATATTTCCTTTTTCACCGTAGGCCACAAATTGCTCCAAATATCCATTTGCAGATTCTACAAAAAGAATGTTCCCAAACTGGTCAATCAAAAGAAAGGCGCAACTCTGTGAGACGAAAGCACACATCACAAAGAAGTTTCCCGGAAAGCTTCTGTCTACATTTTATGTGAACGTATTTCCTTTGGCACCATAGGCCTTAAACCGCTCACAAATATAACTCCAATTAAACGACCTAGAGACTTTCTCCAGATTGCTAAATCAAAAGAAAGGTTCAACTCTGTGAGATGAATACACACATCAAAAAGAAGTTTCTCAAAATGCTTCTGTCTAGTTTTCATGGGAAGATATTTATTTTTCACCGTTGGCCCCAAACCGCTCAGAAATATCCCTTTGCAGTTTGTAGGAAAAGACTGCTCCCAAACTGCTCAATGAAAGGAAATGGTCAACTATTAGAGATGAATGGAAATGTCACAAAGAGTTTTCTCGAAAATCTACTGTGTCGTTTTTATGTGAAGACATTGCCTTTTGCACCCTAGGCCTTAAAACTCTCTAAATGCACATTCACAGATTCTACAAAAAGACTGATTCCAAACTGCTCAATCAGAAGAAGGGTTCAATTCCGTGTGACAAACGTGCACATCACCAAGAAATTTGTCAGAAAGCTTCTGTCTACTTTTTATGTGAAGATATTTCATATTTCAACAAAGGCCATAAAGGGCTCACAAATATCCCTTCGCAGATTCTAAGAAAAGACGTTTTCCAAACTCCTCAATCAAAAGAAAGTTTTAACTCTGTGAGATGAATGGACACATCACGAAGAAGTTTCTCAGAAAGCTTCTGTCTAGTTTTTCTGTGACGATATTTCTTTTTCACCATAGGCCTCAAGCAGCTAAGAAATTTCTCTCTGCAGCTTCTACCAAAGACTGTTTCCAAACTGCTCACCTGAAAGAAAGGTTGAATTCTGTGACATGAATTCACACATCACAAAGAGGTTTTTCAGAAATCTTCTGTCTGGTTTTTAGGTGGCGATACTTCCTTTTTCAGCACGGGCCTCAAATATCTCCAAATATCCATTTGCAGATTCTACAGAAAGACTTTCCAAACTGCTCAATCAAAAGAAAGGTTCAACACTGTGAGATGAAGGCACACATCACCAAGAAATTTCTCAGAAACTTTCTGTCTAGTTTTTAGGTGAAGATACTTCGTATTTCACCACAGGCCATAAAGGGCTCACAAATATCCCTTTGCAGGTTCTACAAAAAGACTGTTTCCAAACTGCTCAATCAAAGGAGAGGTTCAACTCTGTGACGTGAATGGACACATCATAAAAAATTTCTTGGAATGCTTCCGTCTAGTTCTTATGGGAAGATATTTCTCTTTCACCATAAGCCTCAAACGGATCAGAATTCTCCCTTTGCAGATTGTACAATAAGCCTCTTTCCAATCTGCTCAATCAAAAGAAAGTTTCCACTCGGTGAGGTGAATGCACACATCGCAAGGGAGTTTCTCAGAAAGCTTCTGTTTAGTTTTTACGTGAAGGTATTTCGTTTTTCACCACGGGCCTCAAAAGCTCTCCAAATATCCATTTGCAGATTCTAGAAAAAGAGTGTTTCCAAACTCCTCAATCAAAGGATAGTTTCAATTCTGTGAGAGGAAAGCAGACATCACAACGAAGTTTCTTAGAAAGCCTCTGTGAAGTTTTTATGTGAAGATACTTCACATTGCATCACAGTACTCAAGGGGCTCAGAAATATCCCCTTGCAGATCCTACAAAAGGACTGTTTCAAAACTGCTCAATCCAAAGAAAGTTTCAACTATGTGAGACGAATGCACACGTCACGAAGAAGTGCCTCAGAATGCTTCTGTCTAGTTTATATGTGAAGAAGATTCCTATTCCACCATAGGCAATAAAGGGCTCACAAATATGTTTTGCAGATTCTACAAAAAGACTGTATCCAAACTGCTCAATAAAAATAAAGTTTTAACTCTGTTTGATTAATGGACACATCGAAAGGTAGTTTCTCAGAAAACTTCTGTGTAGTTTTTATGTGAAGATACTTCCTTTGTCACCATTGGCCTCAAAGCACTCCTAATATCCATTTACAGATGTCACAGAAAGAGTGTTTCCAAACTGCTCAATCAAAAGAAAGTGTTTAACTCTGTGAGGTGAAAGCACACATCTCAAAGAAGTTTCTCCGAAAGCTTCGGTCTAGTTTTCATGTGATGATATTTCCAGTCTCACCATAGGCCTCAAAGGGCTAAGAAATATCCATTTCCAGATTCTAAAAGACCACCATTTCCATACTTCTCAATCAAAGGAAAGGTTAAATTCTGTGAGGTTAATGCACACATCAGAATGAAGTTTCTCAGAATTCTCCTGTCTAGTTTTCATGGGAAGATATTTACTATTTCACTATAGGCTTCAAATGTCTCAAAAATATCCCTTTGCAGATTCTACAAAAATATGCTTTCCAAAGTGCTGAATTAAAAGAAACCTTCAACTCTGTCAGATGAATGGAGACATCACAAAGAAGTTCCTCAGAATGCTTCTGTCTAGTTGAAATGTGAAGACATTTCTTTTTCACCATAGACCTCAAAGGGCTCAGAATTAGACCTTTGCAGATTGCAGAGAAAGACTGTCTCTAAACTGCTCAAATAAAATAAAGTTTCAACACGGTGAGATGAATGCACACCTCACAAAGAAGTTCCTCAGAAAGCTTCTGTCTGGTTTTTATGTGAAGATATTTCCTTTTCCACCATAGGCCTTACACCGCTCACAAATATCCTTTTGCAGATACTAGAAAAAGACGGTTTCCAAACTGCTCCATCAAAAGAAAATTTCACCCATCTGAGATGAATGCACACATCATAAAGAAGTTCCTCAGAATTCTTCTGTCTAGTTTTTATGTGAAGAATGTTTCCATTTTCACCTTAGGCCACAAAGCGTTCCAAACATCCGTTTGCAGATGATACGAAAAGACTGTTTCCAAACTGCTCAATCAAAAGAAATTTTCAACTCTGTGAGATGAAAGCACACATCACAAAAAAGTTTCTCAGAAATCTTCTGTCTCGCTTTTATCTCAAGATAATTCCTATTTTGCCATAGGAATCAGGGGGCTCACATATATCCCTTTGCGGATTCTACAAAAGTTCTCTTTACAAACTTCTCAATCAAAAGAAACGTTCAACATTGGGAGATGAATGAACACATCCCAAAGAAGTTTCTCAGGTTGCTTCTGTCTGGTTGCTATGTGAAGATGTTTCCTTTTTCACCATAGTCTTTAAGCCACTCAAAAATATCTGTCTGCAGACTCTACCAAAAGACTGTTTCCAAACTGGCCCATATAGCATGTTTCAACTATGTGAAATGAATGCACTCATCAAAAAGAAGTTTCTCAGGATTCTCCTGTCTAGTTTTTATGTGAAGATATTTCCTTTTTCACCGTAGGCCACAAATTGCTCCAAATATCCATTTGCAGATTCTACAAAAAGAATGTTCCCAAACTGGTCAATCAAAAGAAAGGCGCAACTCTGTGAGACGAAAGCACACATCACAAAGGAGTTTCTCGGAAAGCTTCTGTCTACATTTTATGTGAACGTATTTCCTTTGGCACCATAGGCCTTAAACCGCTCGCAAATATAACTCCAATTAAACGACCTAGAGACTTTCTCCAGATTGCTAAATCAAAAGAAAGGTTCAACTCTGTGAGATGAATACACACATCAAAAAGAAGTTTCTCAAAATGCTTCTGTCTAGTTTTCATGGGAAGATATTTATTTTTCACCGTTGGCCCCAAACCGCTCAGAAATATCCCTTTGCAGTTTGTAGAAAAAGACTGCTTCCAAACTGCTCAATGAAAGGAAATGGCCAACTATTAGAGATGAATGGAAATGTCACAAAGAGTTTTCTCAAAAAGCTACTGTGTCGTTTTTATGTGAAGACATTGCCTTTGGCACCCTAGGCCTTAAAACTCTCTCAATACACATTCACAGATTCTACAAAAAGACTGATTCCAAACTGCTCAATCAGAAGAAGGGTTCAATTCCGTGTGGCAAACGTGCACATCACCAAGGAATTTGTCAGAAAGCTTCTGTCTACTTTTTATGTGAAGATATTTCATATTTCAACAAAGGCCATAAAGGGCTCACAAATATCCCTTCGCAGATTCTAAGAAAAGACGTTTGCCAAACTCCTCAATCAAAAGAAAGGTTTAACACTGTGAGATGAATGGACACATCACGAAGAAGTTTCTCAGAAAGCTTCTGTCTAGTTTTTCTGTGAAGATATTTCTTTTTCACCATAGGCCTCAAGCAGCTAAGAAATTTCCCTCTGCAGCTTCTACCAAAGACTGTTTCCAAACTGCTCAACTGAAAGAAAGGTTGAATTCTGTGACATGAATTCACACATCACAAAGAGGTTTTTCAGAAATCTCCTGTCTGGTTTTTAGGTGAAGATACTTCCTTTTTCACCACGGGCCTCAAATATCTCCAAATATCCATTTGCAGATTCTACAGAAAGACTTTCCAAACTGCTCAATCAAAAGAAAGGTTCAACACTGTGAGATGAAGGCACACATCACCAAGAAGTTTCTCAGAAATCTTCTGTCTAGTTTTTAGGTGAAGATACTTCGTATTTCACCACAGGCCATAAAGGGCTCACAAATATCCCTTTGCAGGTTCTACAAAAAGACTGTTTCCAAACTGATCAATCAAAGGAGAGGTTCAACTCTGTGACGTGAATGGACACATCACAAACAATTTCTTGGAATGCTTCCGTCTAGTTCTTATGGGAAGATATTTCTCTTTCACCATAAGCCTCAAACGGATCAGAATTCTCCCTTTGCAGATTGTACGATAAGCCTCTTTCCAATCTGCTCAATCAAAAGAAAGTTTCCACTCGGTGAGGTGAATGCACACATCGCAAGGGAGTTTCTCACAAAGCTTCTGTTTAGTTTTTACGTGAAGATATTTCGTTTTTCACCACGGGCCTCTAAAGCTCTCCAAATATCCATTTGCAGATTCTAGAAAAAGAGTGTTTCCAAACTCCTCAATCAAAGGATAGTTTCAATTCTGTGAGATGAAAGCACACATCACAACGAAGTTTCTTAGAAAGCTTCTGTGTAGTTTTTATGTGAAGATACTTCACATTGCATCACAGTACTCAATGGGCTCAGAAATATCCCCTTGCAGATCCTACAAAAGGACTGATTCAAAACTGCTCAATCCAAAGAAAGTTTCAACTATGTGAGATGAATGCACACGTCACGAAGACGTTCCTCAGAATGCTTCTGTCTTGTTTACATGTGAAGAAGATTCCTATTTCACCATAGGCAATAAAGGGCTCACAAATATTTTTTGTGAGATTCTCCAAAAATACTGTATCCAAACTGCTCAATAAAAAGAAAGTTTTAACTCTGTTACATTAATGGACACATCAACAAGTAGTTTCTCAGAAAACTTCTGTGTACTTTTTATGTGAAGATACTTCCTTTGTCACCATTGGCCTCAAAGCACTCCTAATATCCATTTACAGATGTCACAGAAAGAGTGTTTCCAAACTGCTCAATCAAAAGAAAGTGTTTAACTCTGTGAGGTGAAAGCACACATCTCAAAGAAGTTTCTCCGAAAGCTTCGGTCTACTTTTCATGTGAAGATATTTCCAGTTTCACCGTAGGCCTCAAAGGGCTAAGAAATATCCCTTTCCAGATTCTAAAAGACGACCGTTTCCATACTTCTCAATCAAAAGAAAGGTTAAATACTCTGAGGTTAATGTCCACGTCAGAATGAAGTTTCTCAGAATTCTCCTGTCTAGTTTTCATGTGAAGATATTTACTATTTCACTATAGGCTTCAAATATCTCAAAAATATCCCTTTGCAGATTCTACAAAAATATGCTTTCCAAAGTGCTGAATTAAAAGAAACCTTCAACTCTGTCAGGTGAATGGAGACATCACGAAGAAGTTCCTCAGAATGCTTCTGTCTAGTTTAAATGTGAAGACATTTCTTTTTCACCATAGACCTCAAAGGGCTCAGAGTTAGACCTTTGCAGATTGCAGAGAAAGACTGTCTCTAAACTGCTCAAATAAAATAAAGTTTCAACACGGTGAGATGAACGCACACATCACAAAGAAGTTCCTCAGAAGGCTTCTGTCTGGTTTTTATGTGAAGATATTTCCTTTTTCACCATAGGCCTTACACCGCTCACGAATATCCTTCTGCAGATACTATAAAAAGACGGTTTCCAAACTGCTCCATCAAAAGAAAATTTCACCTATCTGAGATGAATGCACACATCATAAAGAAGTTCCTCAGAATTCTTCTGTCTAGTTTTTATGTGAAGGTGTTTCCATTTTCACCTTAGGCCACAAAGCGCCCCAAACATCCATTTGCAGATGATACGAAAAGACTGTTTCCAAACTGCTCAATCAAAAGAAATTTTCAACTCTGTGAGATGAAAGCACACATCACAAAAAAGTTTCTCAGAAACCTTCTGTCTCGCTTTTATCTCAAGATAATTCCTATTTTGCCATAGGAATCAAGGGGCTCACATATATCCCTTTGCGGATTCTACAAAAGTTCTCTTTACAAACTTCTCAATCAAAAGAAACGTTCAACATTGGGAGATGAATGAACACATCCCAAAGAAGTTTCTCAGGGTTGCTTCTGTCTGGTTGCTATGTGAAGATGTTTCCTTTTTCACCATAGTCTTTTAGCCACTCAAAAATATCTGTCTGCAGACTCCACAAAAAGACTGTTTCCAAACTGGCCCATATAGCATGTTTCAACGATGTGAAATGAATGCACTCATCAAAAAGAAGGTTCTCAGGATTCTCCTGTCTAGTTTTTATGTGAAGATATTTCCTTTTTCACCGTAGGCCACAAATTGCTCCAAATATCCATTTGCAGATTCTACAAAAAGAATGTTCCCAAACTGGTCAATCAAAAGAAAGGCGCAACTCTGTGAGATGAAAGCACACATCACAAAGAAGTTTCCCGGAAAGCTTCTGTCTACATTTTATGTGAAGGTATTTCCTTTGGCACCATAGGCCTTAAACCGCTCGCAAATATAACTCCACTTATACTACCTAGAGACTTTCTCCAGATTGCTAAATCAAAAGAAAGGTTCAACTCTGTGAGATGAATACACACATCAAAAAGAAGTTCCTCAAAATGCTTCTGTCTAGTTTTCATGGGAAGATATTTATTTTTCACCGTTGGCCCCAAACCGCTCAGAAATATCCCTTTGCAGTTTGTAGAAAAAGACTGCTTCCAAACTGCTCAATGAAAGGAAATGGTCAACTATTAGAGATGAATGGAAATGTCACAAACAGTTTTCTCAAAAAGCTACTGTGTCGTTTTCATGTGAAGACATTGCCTTTGGCACCCTAGGCCTTAAAACTCTCTAAATGCACATTCACAGATTCTACAAAAAGACTGATTCCAAACTGCTCAATCAGAAGAAGGGTTCAATTCCGTGTGACAAACGTGCACATCACCAAGAAATTTGTCAGAAAGCTTCTGTCTACTTTTTATGTGAAGATATTTCATATTTCAACAAAGGCCAAAAAGGGCTCACAAATATCCCTTCGCAGATTCTAAGAAAAGACGTTTTGCAAACTCCTCAATCAAAAGAAAGGTTTAACTCTGTGAGATGAATGGACACATCACGAAGAAGTTTCTCAGAAAGCTTCTGTCTAGTTTTTCTTTGAAGATATTTCTTTTTCACCATAGGCCTCAAGCAGCTAAGAAATTTCCCTCTGCAGCTTCTACCAAAGACTGTTTCCAAACTGCTCACCTGAAAGAAAGGTTGAATTCTGTGACATGAATTCACACATCACAAAGAGGTTTTTCAGAAATCTTCTGTCTGGTTTTTAGGTGACGATACTTCCTTTTTCAGCACGGGCCTCAAATATCTCCAAATATCCATTTGCAGATTCTACAGAGAGACTTTCCAAACTGCTCAATCAAAAGAAAGGTTCAACACTGTGAGATGAAGGCACACATCACCAAGAAGTTTCTCAGAAACCTTCTGTCTAGTTTTTAGGTGAAGATACTTCGTATTTCACCACAGGCCATAAAGGGCTCACAAATATCCCTCTGCAGGTTCTACAAAAAGACTGTTTCCAAACTGATCAATCAAAGGAGAGGTTCAACTCTGTGACGTGAATGGACACATCACAAACAATTTCTTGGAATGCTTCCGTCTAGTTCTTATGGGAAGATATTTCTCTTTCACCATAAGCCTCAAACGGATCAGAATTCTCCCTTTGCAGATTGTACAATAAGCCTCTTTCCAATCTGCTCAATCAAGAGAAAGTTTCCACTCGGTTAGGTGAATGCACACATCACAAGGGAGTTTCTCAGAAAGCTTCTGTTTAGTTTTTACGTGAAGATATTTCGCTTTTCACCACGGGCCTCAAAAGCTCTCCAAATATCCATTTGCAGATTCTAGAAAAAGAGTGTTTCCAAACTCCTCAATCAAAGGATAGTTTCAATTCTGTGAGATGAAAGCACACATCACAACGAAGTTTCTTAGAAAGCGTCTGTCTAGTTTTTATGTGAAGATACTTCACATTGCATCACAGTACTCAATGGGCTCAGAAATATCCCCTTGCAGATCCTACAAAAGGACTGTTTCAAAACTGCTCAATCCAAAGAAAGTTTCAACTATGTGAGATGAATGCACACGTCACGAAGAAGTTCCTCAGAATGCTTCTGTCTTGTTTACATGTGAAGAAGATTCCTATTTCACCATAGGCAATAAAGGGCTCACAAATATTTTTTGCAGATTCTACAAAAAGACTGTATCCAAACTGCTCAATAAAAAGAAAGTTTTAACTCTGTTACATCAATGGACACATCAACAAGTAGTTTCTCAGAAAACTTCTGTGTAGTTTTTATGTGAAGATACTTCCTTTGTCACCATTGGCCTCAAAGCACTCCTAATATCCATTTACAGATGTCACAGAAAGAGTGTTTCCAAACTGCTCAATCAAAAGATAGTGTTTTACTCTGTGAGGTGAAAGCACACATCTCAAAGAAGTTTCTCCGAAAGCTTCGGACTAGTTTTCATGTGATGGTATTTCCAGTCTCACCATAGGCCTCAAAGGGCTAAGAAATATCCCTTTCCAGGTTCTAAAAGACCACCATTTCCATACTTCTCAATCAAAAGAAAGGTTAAATTCTGTGAGGTTAATGCACACATCAGAAGGAAGTTTCTCAGAATTCTCCTGTCTAGTTTCCATGTGAAGATATTTACTATTTCACTATAGGCTTCAAATGTCTCAAAAATATCCCTTTGCAGATTCTACAAAAATATGCTTTCCAAAGTGCTGAATTAAAAGAACCCTTCAACTCTGTCAGATGAATGGAGAGGCATCACAACGAAGATCCTCAGAATGCTTCTGTCTAGTTGAAATGTGAAGACATTTCTTTTTCACCATAGACCTCAAAGGGCTCAGAATTAGACCTTTGCAGATTGCAGAGAAAGACTGTCTCTAAACTGCTCAAATAAAATAAAGTTTCAACACGGTGAGATGAATGCACACATCACAAAGAAGTTCCTCAGAAAGCTTCTGTCTGGTTTTTATGTGAAGATATTTCCTTTTTCACCATAGGCCTTACACCGCTCACAAATATCCTTCTGCAGATACTATAAAAAGACGGTTTCCAAACTGCTCCATCAAAAGAAAATTTCACCTATCTGAGATGAATGCACACATCATAAAGAAGTTCCTCAGAATTCTTCTGTCTAGTTTTTATGTGAAGATGTTTCCATTTTCACCTTAGGCCACAAAGCGCCCCAAACATCCGTTTGCAGATGATACGAAAAGACTGTTTCCAAACTGCTCAATCAAGAGAAATTTTCAACTCTGTGAGATGAAAGCACACATCACAAAAAAGTTTCTCAGAAATCTTCTGTCTCGCTTTTATCTCAAGATAATTCCTATTTTGCCATAGGAAACAAGGGGCTCACATATACCCCTTTGCAGATTCTACAAATGTTCTCCTTACAAACTTCTCAATCAAAAGAAACGTTCAACATTGTGAGATGAATGAACACATCCCAAAGACGTTTCTCAGGTTGCTTCTGTCTGGTTGCTATGTGAAGATGTTTCCTTTTTCACCATAGTCTTTAAGCCACTCAAAAATATCTGTCTGCAGACTCTACAAAAAGACTGTTTCCAAACTGGCCCATATGGCATGTTTCAACTATGTGAAATGAATGCACTCATCAAAAAGAAGTTTCTCAGGAGTCTCCCTGTCTAGTTTTCATGTGAAGATATTTCCTTTTTCACCGAAGGCCACAAATTGCTCCAAATATCCATTTGCAGATTGTACGAAAAGAATGTTCCCAAACTGGTCAATGAAAAGAAAGGCGCAACTCTGTGAGACGAAAGCACACATCACAAAGAAGTTTCTCGGAAAGCTTCTGTCTGCATTTTATGTGAAGGTATTTCCTTTGGCACCATAGGCCTTAAACCGCTCGCAAATATGACTCCACTTATACTACCAAGAGACTTTCTCCAAATTGCTAAATCAAAAGAAAGGTTCAACTCTGTGAGATGAATACACACATCAAAAAGAAGTTTCTCAAAATGCTTCTGTCTAGTTTTCATGGGAAGATGTTTATTTTTCACCGTTGGCCCCAAACCGCTCAGAAATATCCCTTTGCAGTTTGTAGAAAAAGACTGCTTCCAAACTGCTCAATGAAAGGAAATGGCCAACTATTAGAGATGAATGGAAATGTCACAAAGAGTTTTCTCAAAAAGCTACTGTGTCGTTTTTATGTGAAGACATTGCCTTTGGCACCCTAGGCCTTAAAACTCTCTAAATACACATTCACAGATTCTACAAAAAGACTGATTCCAAACTGCTCAATCAGAAGAAGGGTTCAATTCCGTGTGACAAACGTGCACATCACCAAGGAATTTGTCAGAAAGCTTCTGTCTACTTTTTATGTGAAGATATTTCATATTTCAACAAAGGCCATAAAGGGCTCACAAATATCCTTTCGCAGATTCTAAGAAAAGACGTTTTCCAAACTCCTCAATCAAAAGAAAGGTTTAACTCTGTGTGATGAATGGACACATCATGAAGAAGTTTCTCAGAAAGCTTCTGTCTAGTTTTTCTGTGAAGATATTTCTTTTTCACCATAGGCCTCAAGCAGCTAAGAAATTTCCCTCTGCAGCTTCTACCAAAGACTGTTTCCAAACTGCTCAACTGAAAGAAAGGTTGAATTCTGTGACATGAATTCACACATCACAAAGAGGTTTTCCAGAAATCTTCTGTCTGGTTTTTAGGTGACGATACTTCCTTTTTCAGCACGGGCCTCAAATATCTCCAAATATCCATTTGCAGATTCTACAGAAAGACTTTCCAAACTGCTCAATCAAAAGAAAGGTTCAACACTGTGAGATGAAGGCACACATCACCAAGAAGTTTCTCAGAAACCTTCTGTCTAGTTTTTAGGTGAAGATACTTCGTATTTCACCACAGGCCATAAAGGGCTCACAAATATCCCTTTGCAGGTTCTACAAAAAGACTGTTTCCAAACTGCCCAATCAAAGGAGAGGTTCAACTCTGTGACGTGAATGGACACATCACAAAAAATTTCTTAGAATGCTTCCGTCTAGTTCTTATGGGAAGATATTTCTCTTTCACCATAAGCCTCAAACGGATCAGAATTCTCCCTCTGCAGATTGTACGATAAGCCTCTTTCCAATCTGCTCAATCAAAAGAAAGTTTCCACTCGGTGAGGTGAATGCACACATCGCAAGGGAGTTTCTCAGAAAGCTTCTGTTTAGTTTTTACGTGAAGATATTTCGTTTTTCACCACGGGCCTCAAAAGCTCTCCAAATATCCATTTGCAGATTCTAGAAAAAGAGTGTTTCCAATCGCCTCAATCAAAGGATAGCTTCAATTCTGTGCGATGAAAGCACACATCACAACGAAGTTTCTTAGAAAGCATCTGTCTAGTTTTTATGTGAAGATACTTCACATTGCATCACAGTACTCAATGGGCTCAGAAATATCCCCTTGCAGATCCTACAAAAGGACTGTTTCAAAACTGCTCAATCCAAAGAAAGCTTCAACTATGTGACACGAATGCACACGTCATGAAGACCTTCCTCAGAATGCTTCTGTCTTGTTTACATGTGAAGAAGATTCCTATTTCACCATAGGCAATAAAGGGCTCACAAATATTTTTGCAGATTCTACAAAAAGACTGTATCCAAACTGCTCAATAAAAAGAAAGTTTTAACTCTGTTACATCAATGGACACATCAACAAGTAGTTTCTCAGAAAACTTCTGTGTAGTTTTTATGTGAAGATACTTCCTTTGTCACCATTGGCCTCAAAGCACTCCTAATATCCATTTACAGATGTCACAGAAAGAGTGTTTCCAAACTGCTCAATCAAAAGAAAGTGTTTAACTCTGTGAGGTGAAAGCACACATCTCAAAGAAGTTTGTCCGAAAGCTTCGGTCTACTTTTCATGTGAAGATATTTCCAGTTTCACCGTAGGCCTCAAAGGGCTAAGAAATATCCCTTTCCAGATTCTAAAAGACGACCGTTTCCATACTTCTCAATCAAAAGAAAGGTTAAATTCTCTGAGGTTAATGCCCACGTCAGAATGAAGTTTCTCAGAATTCTCCTGTCTAGTTTTCATGGGAAGATATTTACTATTTCACTATAGGCTTCAAAAGTCTAAAAAATATCCCTTTGCAGATTCTACAAAAATATGCTTTCCAAAGTGCTGAATTAGAAGAAACCTTCAACTCTGTCAGATGAATGGAGGCATCACAACGAAGTTCCTCAGAATGCTTCTGTCTAGTTTAAATGTGAAGATATTTCTTTTTCACCATAGACCTCAAAGGGCTCAGAATTAGACCTTTGCAGATTGCAGAGAAAGACTGTCTCTAAACTGCTCAAATAAAATAAAGTTTCAACACGGTGAGATGAATGCACACATCACAAAGAAGTTCCTCAGAAAGCTTCTGTCTGGTTTTAATGTGAAGATATTTCCTTTTTCACCATAGGCCTTACACCGCTCACGAATATCCTTCTGCAGATACTATAAAAAGACTGTTTCCAAACTGCTCCATCAAAAGAAAATTTCACCTATCTGAGATGAATGCACACATCATACAGAAGTTCCTCAGAATTCTTCTGTCTAGTTTTTATGTGAAGATGTTTCCATTTTCACCTTAGGCCACAAAGCGCTCCAAACATCCGTTTGCAGATGATACGAAAAGACTGTTTCCAAACTGCTCAATCAAAAGAAATTTTCAACTCTGTGAGATGAAAGCACACATCACGAAAAGTTTCTCAGAAATCTTCTGTCTCGCTTTTATCTCAAGATGATTCCTATTTTGCCATAGGAATCAAGGGGCTCACATATACCCCTTTGCAGATTCTACAAATGTTCTCCTTACAAACTTCTCAATCAAGAGAAACGTTCAACATTGTGAGATGAATGAACACATCCCAAAGACGTTTCTCAAGTTGCTTCTGTCAGGTTGCTATGTGAAGATGTTTCCTTTTTCACCATAGTCTTTAAGCCACTCAAAAATATCTGTCTGCAGACTCTACCAAAAGACTGTTTCCAAACTGGCCCACATAGCATGTTTCAACTATGTGAAATGAATGCACTCATCAAAAAGAAGTTTCTCAGGATTCTCCGGTCTAGTTTTTATGTGAAGATATTTCCTTTTTCACCGTAGGCCACAAATTGCTCCAAATATCCATTTGCAGATTCTACAAAAAGAATGTTCCCAAACTGGTCAATCAAAAGAAAGGCGCAACCCTGTGAGACGAAAGCACACATCACAAAGGAGTTTCTCGGAAAGCTTCTGTCTACATTTTATGTAAAGGTATTTCCTTTGGCACCATAGGCCTTAAACCGCTCACAAATATGACTCCACTTATACTACCAAGAGACTTTCTCCAAATTGCTAAATCAAAAGAAAGGTTCAACTCTGTGAGATGAATACACACATCAAAAAGAAGTTTCTCAAAATGCTTCTGTCTAGTTTTCATGGGAAGATATTTATTTTTCACCGTTGTCCCCAAACCGCTCCGAAATATCCCTTTGCAGTTTGTAGAAAAAGACTGCTTCCAAACTGCTCAATGAAAGGAAATGGTCAACTATTAGAGATGAATGGAAATGTCACAAAGAGTTTTCTCAAAAAGCTACTGTGTCGTTTTTATGTGAAGACATTGCCTTTGGCACCCTAGGCCTTAAAACTCTCTATATACACATTCACAGATTCTACAAAGAGACTGATTCCAAACTGCTCAATCAGAAGAAGGGTTCAATTCCGTGTGACAAACGTGCACATCACCAAGGAATTTGTCAGAAAGCTTCTGTCTACTTTTTATGTGAAGATATTTCATATTTCAACAAAGGCCATAAAGGGCTCACAAATATCCCTTCGCAGATTCTAAGAAAAGACATTTTCCAAACTCCTCAATCAAAAGAAAGGTTTAACTCTGTGAGATGAATGGACACATCACGAAGAAGTTTCTCAGAAAGCTTCTGTCTAGTTTTTCTGTGAAGATATTTCTTTTTCACCATAGGCCTCAAGCAGCTAAGAAATTTCCCTCTGCAGCTTCTACCAAAGACTGTTTCCAAACTGCTCACCTGAAAGAAAGGTTGAATTCTGTGACATGAATTCACACATCACAAAGAGGTTTTTCAGAAATCTTCTGTCTGGTTTTTAGGTGAAGATACTTCCTTTTTCACCACGGGCCTCAAATATTTCCAAATATCCATTTGCAGATTCTACAGAAAGACTTTGCAAACTGCTCAATCAAAAGAAAGGTTCAACACTGTGAGATGAAGGCACACATCACCAAGAAGGTTCTCAGAAACCTTCTGTCTAGTTTTTAGGTGAAGATACTTCGTATTTCACCACAGGCCATAAAGGGCTCACAAATATCCCTTTGCAGGTTCTACAAAAAGACTGTTTCCAAACTGCTCAATCAAAGGAGAGGTTCAACTCTGTGACGTGAATGGACACATCACAAAAAATTTCTTGGAATGCTTCCGTCTAGTTTTTATGGGAAGATATTTCTCTTTCACCATAAGCCTCAAACGGATCAGAATTCTCCCTTTGCAGGTTGTACGATAAGCCTCTTTCCAATCTGCTCAATCAAAAGAAAGTTTCCACTCGGTGAGGTGAATGCACACATCGCAAGGGAGTTTCTCAGAAAGCTTCTGTTTAGTTTTTACGTGAAGATATTTCGTTTTTCACCACGGGCCTCAAAAGCTCTCCAAATATCCATTTGCAGATTCTAGAAAAAGAGTGTTTCCAAACTCCTCAATCAAACGATAGTTTCAATTCTGTGAGATGAAAGCACACATCACAACGAAGTTTCTTAGAAAGCGTCTGTGTAGTTTTTATGTGAAGATACTTCACATTGCATCACAGTACTCAATGGGCTCAGAAATATCCCCTTGCAGATCCTACAAAAGGACTGTTTCAAAACTGCTCAATCCAAAGAAAGTTTCAACTATGTGAGATGAATGCACACGTCACGAAGACGTTCCTCAGAATGCTTCTGTCTAGTTTATATGTGAAGAAGATTCCTATTTCACCATAGGCAATAAAGGGCTCACAAATATGTTTTGCAGATTCTACAAAAGGACTGTATCCAAACTGCTCAATAAAAAGAAAGTTTTAACTCTTTTAGGTTAATGGACACATCAAAAAGTAGTTTCTCAGAAAACTTCTGTGTAGTTTTTATGTGAAGATATTTCCTTTGTCACCATTGGCCTCAAAGCACTCCTAATATCCATTTACAGATGTCACAGAAAGAGTGTTTCCAAACTGCTCAATCAAAAGAAAGTGATTAACTCTGTGAGGTGAAAGCACACATCTCAAAGAAGTTTCTCCGAAAGCTTCGGACTAGTTTTCATGTGATGATATTTCCAGTCTCACCATAGGCCTCAAAGGGCTAAGAAATATCCCTTTCCAGGTTCTAAAAGACCACCATTTCCATACTTCTCAATCAAAAGAAAGGTTAAATTCTGTGAGGTTAATGCACACATCAGAATGAAGTTTCTCAGAATTCTCCTGTCTAGTTTTCATGGGAAGATATTTACTATTTCACTCTAGGCTTCAAATGTCTCAAAAATATCCCTTTGCAGATTCTACAAAAATATGCTTTCCAAAGTGCTGAATTAAAAGAAACCTTCAACTCTGTCCGATGAATGGAGAGGCATCACAACGAAGTTCCTCAGAATGCTTCTGTCTAGTTTAAATGGGAAGATATTTCTTTTTCACCATAGACCTCAAAGGGCTCAGAATTAGACCTTTGCAGATTGCAGAGAAAGACTGTCTCTAAACTGCTCAAATAAAATAAAGTTTCAACACGGTGAGATGAATGCACACCTCACAAAAAGTTCCTCAGAAAGCTTCTGTCTGTTTTTTATGTGAAGATATTTCCTTTTTCACCATAGGCCTTACACCGCTCACAAATATCCTTCTGCAGATACTAGAAAAAGACTGTTTCCAAACTGCTCCATCAAAAGAAAATTTCACCCATCTGAGATGAATGCACACATCATAAAGAGGTTCCTCAGAATTCTTCTGTCTAGTTTTTATGTGAAGGTGTTTCCATTTTCACCTTAGGCCACAAAGCGCCCCAAACATCCATTTGCAGATGATACGAAAAGACTGTTTCCAAACTGCTCAATCAAAAGAATTTTTCAACTCTGTGAGATGAAAGTACACATCACAAAAAAGTTTCTCAGAAATCTTCTGTCTGGCTTTTATCTCAAGATAATTCCTATTTTGCCATAGGAATCAAGGGGCTCACATATATCCCTTTGCAGATTCTACAAAAGTTATCCTTACAAACTTCTCAATCAAAAGAAACGTTCATCATTGTGAAGTGAATGAACACATCCCAAAGACGTTTCTCAGGTTGCTTCTGTCTGGTTGCTATGTGAAGATGTTTCCTTTTTCACCATAGTCCTTAAGCCCCTCAAAAATATCTGTCTGCAGACTCTACCAAAAGACTGTTTCCAAACTGGCCCATATAGCATGTTTCAACTATGTGAAATGAATGCACTCATCAAAAAGAAGTTTCTCAGGATTCTTCTGTCTAGTTTTTATGTGAAGATATTTCCTTCTTCACCGCAGGCCGCAAATTGCTCCAAATATCCATTTGCGGATTCTACAGAAAGAATGTTTCCAAACTGGTCAATCAACAGAAAGGCTCAACTCTGTGAGACGAAAGCACACATCACAAAGAAGTTTCTCAGAAAGCTTCTGTCTGCATTTTATGTGAAGGTATTTCCTTTGGCACCATAGGCCTTAAACCGCTCGCAAATATAACTCCACTTATACTACCAAGAGACTTTCTCCAAATTGCTAAATCAAAAGAAAGGTTCAACTCTGTAAGATGAATACACACATCAAAAAGAAGTTTCTCAAAATGCTTCTGTCTAGTTTTCATGGGAAGATATTTATTTTTCACCGTTGGCCCCAAACCGCTCAGAAATATCCCTTTGCAGTTTGTAGAAAAAGACTGCTTCCAAACTGCTCAATGTAAGGAAATGGCCAACTATTAGAGATGAATGGAAATGTCACAAAGAGTTTTCTCAAAAAGCCACTGTGTCGTTTTTATGTGAAGACATTGCCTTTTGCACACTAGGCCTTAAAACTCTCTAAATGCACATTCACAGATTCTACAAAAAGACTGATTCCAAACTGCTCAATCAGAAGAAGGGTTCAATTCCGTGTGACAAACGTGCACATCACCAAGAAATTTGTCAGAAAGCTTCTGTCTACTTTTTATGTGAAGATATTTCATATTTCAACAAAGGCCATAAAGGGCTCACAAATATCCCTTCGCAGATTCTAAGAAAAGACGTTTTCCAAACTCCTCACTCAAAAGAAAGGTTTAACACTGTGAGATGAATGGACACATCACGAAGAAGTTTCTCAGAAAGCTTCTGTCTAGTTTTTCTGTGAAGATACTTCTTTTTCACCATAGGCCTCAAGCAGCTAAGAAATTTCCCTCTGCAGCTTCTACCAAAGACTGTTTCCAAACTGCTCAACTGAAAGAAAGGTTGAATTCTGTGACATGAATTCACACATCACAAAGAGGTTTTTCAGAAATCTTCTGTCTGGTTTTTAGGTGACGATACTTCCTTTTTCACCACGGGCCTCAAATATCTCCAAATATCCATTTGCAGATTCTACAGAAAGACTTTCCAAACTGCTCAATCAAAAGAAAGGTTCAACACTGTGAGATGAAGGCACACATCACCAAGAAGTTTCTCAGAAACCTTCTGTCTAGTTTTTAGGTGAAGATACTTCGTATTTCACCACAGGCCATAAAGGGCTCACAAATATCCCTTTGCAGGTTCTACAAAAAGACTGTTTCCAAACTGCTCAATCAAAGGAGAGGTTCAACTCTGTGACGTGAATGGACACATCACAAACAATTTCTTGGAATGCTTCCGTCTAGTTTTTATGGGAAGATATTTCTCTTTCACCATAAGCCTCAAACGGATCAGAATTCTCCCTTTGCAGATTGTACGATAAGCCTCTTTCCAATCTGCTCAATCAAAAGAAAGTTTCCTCTCGGTGAGGTGAATGCACACAACGCAAGGGAGTTTCTCAGAAAGCTTCTGTTTAGTTTTTACGTGAAGATATTTCGTTTTTCACCACGGGCCTCTAAAGCTCTCCAAATATCCATTTGCAGATCCTAGAAAAAGAGTGTTTCCAAACTCCTCAATCAAAGGATAGTTTCAATTCTGTGAGATGAAAGCACACATCACAACGAAGTTTCTTAGAAAGCTTCTGTCCAGTTTTTATGTGAAGATACTTCACATTGCATCACAGTACTCAATGGGCTCAGAAATATCCCCTTGCAGATCCTACAAAAGGACTGTTTCAAAACTGCTCAATCCAAAGAAAGTTTCAACTATGTGAGACGAATGCACACGTCACGAAGAAGTTCCTCAGAATGCTTCTGTCTAGTTTATATGTGAAGAAGATTCCTATTCCACCATAGGCAATAAAGGGCTCACAAATATGTTTTGCAGATTCTACAAAAAGACTGTATCCAAACTGCTCAATAAAAAGAAAGTTTTAACTCTGTTAGGTTAATGGACACATCAAAAAGTAGTTTCTCAGAAAACTTCTGTGTAGTTTTTCTGTGAAGATACTTCCTTTGTCACCATTGGCCTCAAAGCACTCCTAATATCCATTTACAGATGTCACAGAAAGAGTGTTTCCAAACTGCTCCATCAAAAGAAAGTGTTTAACTCTGTGAGGTGAAAGCACACATCTCAAAGGAGTTTCTCCGAAAGCTTCGGTCTAGTTTTCATGTGATGATATTTCCAGTCTCACCATAGGCCTCAAAGGGGTAAGAAATATCCCTTTCCAGATTCTAAAAGACCACCATTTCCATACTTCTCAATCAAAAGAAAGGTTACATTCTGTGAGGTTAATGCACACATCAGAATGAAGTTTCTCAGAATTCTCCTGTCTAGTTTTCATGTGAAGATATTTACTATTTCACTATAGGCTTCAAATGTCTCAAAAATATCCCTTTGCAGATTCTACAAAAATATGCTTTCCAAAGTGCTGAATTAAAAGAAACCTTCAACTCTGTCAGATGAATGGAGGCATCACAACGAAGTTCCTCAGAATGCTTCTGTCTAGTTTAAATGTGAAGACATTTCTTTTTCACCATAGACCTCAAAGGGCTCAGAATTAGACCTTTGCAGATTGCAGAGAAAGACTGTCTCTAAACTGCTCAAATAAAATAAAGTTTCAACACGGTGAGATAAATGCACACCTCACAAAGAAGTTCCTCAGAAAGCTTCTGTCTGGTTTTTATGTGAAGATATTTCCTTTTTCACCATAGGCCTTACACCGCTCACAAATATCCTTCTGCAGATACTAGAAAAAGACTGTTTCCAAACTGCTCCATCAAAAGAAAATTTCACCCATCTGAGATGAATGCACACATCATAAAGAAGTTCCTCAGAATTCTTCTGTCTAGTTTTTATGTGAAGATGTTTCCATTTTCACCTTAGGCCACAAAGCGCCCCAAACATCCGTTTGCAGATGATACGAAGAGACTGTTTCCAAACTGCTCAATCAAGAGAAATTTTCAACTCTGTGAGATGAAAGCACACATCACAAAAAAGTTTCTCAGAAATCTTCTGTCTCGCTTTTATCTCAAGATGATTCCTATTTTGCCATAGGAATCAAGGGGCTCACATATACCCCTTTGCAGATTCTACAAATGTTCTCCTTACAAACTTCTCAATCAAGAGAAACGTTCAACATTGTGAGATGAATGAACACATCCCAAAGACGTTTCTCAGGTTGCTTCTGTCTGGTTGCTATGTGAAGATGTTTCCTTTTTCACCATGGTCTTTAAGCCACTCAAAAATACCTGTCTGCGGACTCTACAGTAAGACTGATTCCAAACTGGCCCATATAGCATGTTTCAACTATGTGAAATGAATGCACTCATCAAAAAGAAGTTTCTCAGGATTCTCCTGTCTAGTTTTTATGTGAAGATATTTCCTTTTTCACCGTAGGCCACAAATTGCTCCAAATATCCATTTGCAGATTCTACAAAAAGAATGTTCCCAAACTGGTCAATCAAAAGAAAGGCGCAACTCTGTGAGACGAAAGCACACATCACAAAGAAAGTTTCTCGGAAAGCCTCTGTCTACATTTTATGTGAAGGTATTTCCTTTGGCACCATAGGCCTTAAACCGCTCGCAAATATAACTCCACTTATACTACCTAGAGACTTTCTCCAGATTGCTAAATCAAAAGAAAGGTTCAACTCTGTGAGATGAATACACACATCAAAAAGAAGTTTCTCAAAATGCTTCTGTCTAGTTTTCATGGGAAGATATTTATTTTTCACCGTTGGCCCCAAACCGCTCAGAAATATCCCTTTGCAGTTTGTAGAAAAAGACTGCTTCCAAACTGCTCAATGAAAGGAAATGGTCAACTATCAGAGATGAATGGAAATGTCGCAGAGAGTTTTCTCAAAAAGCTACTGTGTCGTTTTTATGTGAAGACATTGCCTTTGGCACCCTAGGCCTTAAAACTCTCTAAATACACATTCACAGATTCTACAAAAAGACTGATTCCAAACTGCTCAATCAGAAGAAGGGTTCAATTCCGTGTGGCAAACGTGCACATCACCAAGGAATTTGTCAGAAAGCTTCTGTCTACTTTTTATGTGAAGATATTTCATATTTCAACAAAGGCCATAAAGGACTCACAAATATCCCTTCGCAGATTCTAAGAAAAGACGTTTTCCAAACTCCTCAACCAAAAGAAAGGTTTAACTCTGTGAGATGAATGGACACATCACGAAGAAGTTTCTCAGAAAGCTTCTGTCTAGTTTTTCTGTGAAGATATTTCTTTTCCACAATAGGCCTCAAGCAGCTAAAAAATTTCCCTCTGCAGCTTCTACCAAAGACTGTTTCCAAACTGCTCACCTGAAAGAAAGGTTGAATTCTGTGACATGAATTCACACATCACAAAGAGGTTTTTCAGAAATCTTCTGTCTGTTTTTTAGGTGAAGATACTTCCTTTTTCACCACGGGCCTCAAATATCTCCAAATATCCATTTGCAGATTCTACAGAAAGACGTTGCAAACTGCTCAATCAAAAGAAAGGTTTAACACTGTGAGATGAAGGCACCCATCACCAAGAAGTTTCTCAGAAACCTTCTGTCTAGTTTTTAGGTGAAGATACTTCGTATTTCACCACAGGCCATAAAGGGCTCACAAATATCCCTTTGCAGGTTCTACAAAAAGACTGTTTCCAAACTGCTCAATCAAAGGAGAGGTTCAACTCTGTGACGTGAATGGACACATCATAAAAAATTACTTGGAATGCTTCCGTCTAGTTTTTATGGGAAGATATTTCTCTTTCACCATAAGCCTCAAACGGATCAGAATTCTCCCTTTGCAGATTGTACGATAAGCCTCTTTCCAATCTGCTCAATCAAAAGAAAGTTTCCACTGGGTGAGGTGAATGCACACATCGCAAGGGAGTTTCTCAGAAAGCTTCTGTTTAGTTTTTACGTGAAGATATTTCGTTTTTCACCACTGGCCTCAAAAGCTCTCCAAATATCCATTTGCAGATTCTAGAAAAAGAGTGTTTCCAAACTCCTCAATCAAAGCATAGTTTCAATTCTGTGAGATGAAAGCACACATCACAACGAAGTTTCTTAGAAAGCGTCTGTCTAGTTTTTATGTGAAGATACTTCACATTGCATCACAGTACTCAATGGGCTCAGAAATATCCCCTTGCAGATCCTAGAAAAGGACTGTTTCAAAACTGCTCAATCCAAAGAAAGCTTCAACTATGTGACACGAATGCACACGTCACGAAGACCTTCCTCAGAATGCTTCTGTCTAGTTTATATGTGAAGAAGATTCCTATTTCACCATAGGCAATAAAGGGCTCACAAATATGTTTTGCAGATTCTACAAAAGGACTGTATCCAAACTGCTCAATAAAAAGAAAGTTTTAACTCTGTTAGGTTAATGGACACATCAAAAAGTAGTTTCTCAGAAAACTTCTGTGTAGTTTTTATGTGAAGATACTTCCTTTGTCACCATTGGCCTCAAAGCACTCCTAATATCCATTTACAGATGTCACAGAAAGAGTGTTTCCAAACTGCTCAATTAAAAGAAAGTGTTTAACTCTGTGAGGTGAAAGCACACATCTCAAAGAAGTTTCTCCGAAAGCTTCGGTCTAGTTTTCATGTGATGATATTTCCAGTCTCACCATAGGCCTCAAAGGGCTAAGAAATATCTCTTTCCAGATTCTAAAAGACCACCATTTCCATACTTCTCAATCAAAAGAAAGGTTACATTCTGTGAGGTTAATGCACATATCAGAATGAAGTTTCTCAGAATTCTCCTGTCTAGTTTTCATGTGAAGATATTTACTATTTCACTATAGGCTTCAAATGTCTCAAAAATATCCCTTTGCAGATTCTACAAAAATATGCTTTCCAAAGTGCTGAATTAAAAGAAACCTTCAACTCTCTCAGATGAATGGAGACATCACAAAGAAGTTCCTCAGAATGCTTCTGTCTAGTTTAAATGTGAAGACATTTCTTTTTCACCATAGACCTCAAAGGGCTCAGAGTTAGACCTTTGCAGATTGCAGAGAAAGACTGTCTCTAAACTGCTCAAATAACATAAAGTTTCAACACGGTGAGATGAATGCACACATCACAAAGAAGTTCCTCAGAAAGCTTCTGTCTGGTTTTAATGTGAAGATATTTCCTTTTTCACCATAGGCCTTACACCGCTCACGAATATCCTTCTGCAGATACTATAAAAAGACTGTTTCCAAACTGCTCCATCAAAAGAAAATTTCACCTATACTGAGATGAATGCACACATCATACAGAAGTTCCTCAGAATTCTTCTGTCTAGTTTTTATGTGAAGATATTTCCATTTTCACCTTAGGCCACAAAGTGCTCCAAATATCCATTTGCAGATTATACAAAAAGACTGTTTCCAAACTGCTCAATCAAAAGAAATTTTCAACTCTGTGAGATGAAAGCACACATCACAAAGAAGTTTGCTCAGAAATCTTCTGTCTCGCTTTTATCTCAAGATAATTCCTATTTTGCCATAGGAATCAAGGGGCTCACATATATCCCTTTGCAGATTCTACAAAAGTTCTCCTTAAAAACTTCTCAATCAAAAGAAACGTTCAACATTGTGAGATGAATGAACACATCCCAAAGACGTTTCTCAGGTTGCTTCTGTCTGGTTGCTATGTGAAGATGTTTCCTTTTTCACCATAGTCTTTAAGCCACTCTAAAATACCTGTCTGCAGACTCTACAAAAAGACTGTTTCCAAACTGGCCCATATAGCATGTTTCAACTATGTGAAATGAATGCACTCATCAAAAAGGAGTTCCTCAGGATTCTCCTGTCTAGTTTTTATGTGAAGATATTTCCTTTTTCACTGTAGGCCACAAATTGCTCCAAATATCCATTTGCAGATTCTACAAAAAGAATGTTCCCAAACTGGTCAATCAAAAGAAAGGCGCAACTCTGTGAGACGAAAGCACACATCACAAAGAAGTTTCCCGGAAAGCTTCTGTCTACATTTTATGTGAAGGTATTTCCTTTGGCACCATAGGACTTAAACCGCTCGCAAACATAACTCCACTTATACTACCTAGAGACATTCTCCAGATTGCTAAATCAAAAGAAAGGTTCAACTCTGTGAGATGAATACACACATCAAAAAGAAGTTTCTCAAAATGCTTCTCTGTCTAGTTTTCATGGGAAGATATTTATTTTTCACCGTTGGCCCCAAACCGCTCCGAAATATCCCTTTGCAGTTTGTAGAAAAAGACTGCTTCCAAACTGCTCAATGAAAGGAAATGGTCAACTATTAGAGATGAATGGAAATGTCACAAAGAGTTTTCTCAAAAAGCTACTGTGTCGTTTTTATGTGAAGACATTGCCTTTGGCACCCTAGGCCTTAAAACTCTCTCAATACACATTCACAGATTCTACAAAAAGACTGATTCCAAACTGCTCAATCAGAAGAAGGGTTCAATTCCGTGTGACAAACGTGCACATCACCAAGGAATTTGTCAGAAAGCTTCTGTCTACTTTTTATGTGAAGATATTTCATATTTCAACAAAGGCCATAAAGGGCTCACAAATATCCCTTTGCAGATTCTAAGGAAAGACATTTTCCAAACTCCTCAATCAAAAGAAAGGTTTCACTCTGTGTGATGAATGGACACATCACAAAGAAGTTTCTCAGAAAGCTTCTGTCTAGTTTTTCTGTGAAGATATTTCTTTTTCACCATAGGCCTCAAGCAGCTAAGAAATTTCCCTCTGCAGCTTCTACCAAAGACTGTTTCCAAACTGCTCAACTGAAAGAAAGGTTGAATTCTGTGACATAAATTCACACATCACAAAGAGGTTTTTCAGAAATCTTCTGTCTGGTTTTTAGGTGAAGATACTTCCTTTTTCACCACGGGCCTCAAATATCTCCAAATATCCATTTGCAGATTCTACAGAAAGACTTTGCAAACTGCTCAATCAAAAGAAGGGTTCAACACTGTGAGATGAAGGCACACATCACCAAGAAGTTTCTCAGAAACCTTCTGTCTAGTTTTTAGGTGAAGATACTTCGTATTTCACCACAGGCCATAAAGGGCTCACAAATATCCCTCTGCAGGTTCTACAAAAAGACTGTTCCCAAACTGCCCAATCAAAGGAGAGGTTCAACTCTGTGACGTAAATGGACACATCACAAAAAATTTCTTGGAATGCTTCCGTCTAGTTCTTATGGGAAGATATTTCTCTTTCACCATAAGCCTCAAACGGATCAGAATTCTCCCTTTGCAGATTGTACGATAAGCCTCTTTCCAATCTGCTCAATCAAAAGAAAGTTTCCACTCGGTGAGGTGAATGCACACATCGCAAGGGAGTTTCTCAGAAAGCTTCTGTTTAGTTTTTACGTGAAGATATTTCGTTTTTCACCACTGGCCTCAAAAGCTCTCCAAATATCCATTTGCAGATTCTAGAAAAAGAGTGTTTCCAAACTCCTCAATCAAAGGATAGTTTCAATTCTGTGAGATGAAAGCACACATCACAACGAAGTTTCTTAGAAAGCTTCTGTGAAGTTTTTATGTGAAGATACTTCACATTGCATCACAGTACACAAGGGGCTCAGAAATATCCCCTTGCAGATCCTACAAAAGGACTGTTTCAAAACTGCTCAATCCAAAGAAAGTTTCAACTATGTGAGACGAATGCACACGTCACGAAGAAGTGCCTCAGAATGCTTCTGTCTAGTTTATATGTGAAGAAGATTCCTATTCCACCATAGGCAATAAAGGGCTCACAAATATGTTTTGCAGATTCTACAAAAAGACTGTACCCAAACTGCTCAATAAAAAGAAAGTTTTAACTCTGTTAGGTTAATGGACACATCAAAAAGTAGTTTCTCAAGAAAACTTCTGTTTAGTTTTTATGTGAGGATATTTCCTTTGTCACCATTGGCCTCAAAGCACTCCTAATATCCATTTACAGATATCACAAAAAGAGTGTTTCCAAACTGCTCAATCAAAAGAAAGTTTTAACTCTGTGAGATGAAAGCACACATCTCAAAGAACTTTCTCAGAAAGCTTTGGTCTAGTTTTCATGTGAAGATATTTCCAGTTTCACCATAGGCCTCAAAGGGCTAAGAAATATCCCTTTCCAAATTCTAAAAGACGAACATTTCCATACTGCTCAATCAAAAGAAAGGTTAAATTCTGTGAGGTGAATGCACACATCAGAATGAAGTTTCTCAGAATTCTCCCTGTCTAGTTTCTATGTGAAGATATTTACTATTTCACTATAGGCTTCAAAGGTCTCAAAAATATCCCTTTGCAGATTCTACAAAAATATGGTTTCCACAGTGCTGAATTAAAAGAAACCTTCAACTCTGTCAGATGAATGGGGACATCACAAAGAAGTTCCTCGGAATGCTTCTGTCTAGTTGAAATGTGAAGACATTTCTTTTTCACCATAGACCTCAAAGGGCTCAGAGTTGGACCTTGGCAGATTGCAGAGAAAGACTGTCTCTAAACTGCTCAAATAACATAAAGTTTCAACACGGTGAGATGAATGCACACATCACAAAGAAGTTCCTCAGAAAGCTTCTGTCTGGTTTTTATGTGAAGATATTTCCTTTTTCACCATAGGCCTTACACCGCTCACAAATATCCTTCTGCAGATACTATAAAAAGACTGTTTCCAAACTGCTCCATCAAAAGAAAATTTCACCTATCTGAGATGAATGCACACATCATACAGAAGTTCCTCAGAATTCTTCTGTCTAGTTTTTATGTGAAGATGTTTCCATTTTCACCTTAGGCCACAAAGCGCCCCAAACATCCGTTTGCAGATGATACGAAGAGACTGTTTCCAAACTGCTCAATCAAGAGAAATTTTCAACTCTGTGAGATGAAAGCACACATCACTAAAAAGTTTCTCAGAAATCTTCTGTCTCGCTTTTATCTCAAGATGATTCCTATTTTGCCATAGGAATCAAGGGGCTCACATATACCCCTTTGCAGATTCTACAAATGTTCTCCTTACAAACTTCTCAATCAAGAGAAACGTTCAACATTGTGAGATGAATGAACACATCCCAAAGACATTTCTCAAGTTGCTTCTGTCTGGTTGCTATGTGAAGATGTTTCCTTTTTCACCATAGCCTTTAAGCCACTCAAAAATATCTGTCTGCAGACTCTACAAAAAGACTCTTTCCAAACTGGCCCATATGGCATGTTTCAACTATGTGAAACGAATGCACTCATCAAAAAGTAGTTTTTCAGGAGTCTCCTGTCTAGTTTTTATGTGAAGATATTTCCTTTTTCACCGTAGGCCACAAATTGCTCCAAATATCCATTTGCAGATTCTACAAAAAGAATGTTCCCAAACTGGTCAATCAACAGAAAGGCGCAACTCTGTGAGACGAAAGCACACATCACAAAGAAGTTTCTCGGAAAGCCTCTGTCTACATTTTATGTGAAGGTATTTCCTTTGGCACCATAGGCCTTAAACCGCTCGCAAATATGACTCCACTTATACTACCAAGAGACTTTCTCCAAATTGCTAAATCAAAAGAAAGTTTCAACCCTGTGAGATGAATACACACATCAAAAAGAAGTTTCTCAAAATGCTTCCGTCTAGTTTTCATGGGAAGATATTTATTTTTCACCGTTGGCCCCAAACCGCTCAGAAATATCCCTTTGCAGTTTGTAGAAAAAGACTGCTTCCAAACTGCTCAATGTAAGGAAATGGCCAACTATTAGAGATGAATGGAAATGTCACAAAGAGTTTTCTCAAAAAGCTACTGTGTCGTTTTTATGTGAAGACATTGCCTTTGGCACCCTAGGCCTTAAAACTCTCTCAGTACACATTCACAGATTCTACAAAAGGACTGATTCCAAACTGCTCAATCAGAAGAAGGGTTCAATTCCGTGTGGCAAACGTGCACATCACCAAGGAATTTGTCAGAAAGCTTCTGTCTAGTTTTTATGTGAAGATATTTCATATTTCAACATAGGCCATAAAGGGCTCACAAATATCCCTTTGTAGATTCTAAGAAAAGACATTTTCCAAACTCCTCAATCAAAAGAAAGGTTTAACTCTGTGAGATGAATGGACACATCACAAAGAAGTTTCTTAGAAAGCTTCTGTCTAGTTTTTCTGTGAAGATATTTCTTTTTCACCATAGGCCTCAAGCAGCTAAGAAATTGCCCTCTGCAGCTTCTACCAAAGACTGTTTCCAAACTGCTCAACTGAAAGAAAGGTTGAATTCTGTGACATGAATTCACACATCACAAAGAGGTTTTTCAGAAATCTTCTGTCTGGTTTTTAGGTGACGATACTTCCTTTTTCACCACGGGCCTCAAATATCTCCAAATATCCATTTGCAGATTCTACAGAAAGACTTTCCAAACTGCTCAATCAAAAGAAAGGTTCAACACGGTAAGATGAAGGCACACATCACCAAGAAGTTTCTCAGAAACCTTCTGTCTAGTTTTTAGGTGAAGATACTTTGTATTTCACCACAGGCCTTAAAGGGCTCACAAATATCCCTCTGCAGGTTCTACAAAAAGACTGTTTCCAAACTGATCAATCAAAGGAGAGGTTCAACTCTGTGACGTGAATGGACACATCACAAACAATTTCTTGGAATGCTTCCGTCTAGTTCTTATGGGAAGATATTTCTCTTTCACCAGAAGCCTCAAACGGATCAGAATTCTCCCTTTGCAGATTGTACAATAAGCCTCTTTCCAATCTGCTCAATCAAAAGAAAGTTTCCACTCGGTGAGGTGAATGCACACATCGCAAGGGAGTTTCTCAGGAAGCTTCTGTTTAGTTTTTACGTGAAGATATTTCGTTTTTCACCACGGGCCTCAAAAGCTCTCCAAATATCCATTTGCAGATTCTAGAAAAAGAGTGTTTCCAAACTCCTCAATCAAAGGATAGTTTCAATTCTGTGAGATGAAAGCACACATCACAACGAAGTTTCTTAGAAAGCGTCTGTCTAGTTTTTATGTGAAGATACTTCACATTGCATCACAGTACTCAATGGGCTCAGAAATATCCCCTTGCAGATCCTACAAAAGGACTGTTTCAGAACTGCTCAATCCAAAGAAAGCTTCAACTATGTGAGACGAATGCACACGTCACGAAGAAGTTCCTCAGAATGCTTCTGTCTAGTTTATATGTGAAGAAGATTCCTATTTCACCATAGGCAATAAAGGGCTCACAAATATGTTTTGCAGATTGTACAAAAGGACTGTATCCAAACTGCTCAATAAAAAGAAGGTTTTAACTCTGTTAGGTTAATGGACATATCAAAAAGTAGTTTCTCAGAAAACTTCTGTTTAGTTTTTATGTGAAGATATTTCCTTTGTCACCATTGGCCTCAAAGCACTCCTAATATCCATTTACAGATTTCACAAAAAGAGTGTTTCCAAACAGCTCAATCAAAAGAAAGTGTTTAACTCTGTGAGGTGAAAGCACACATCTCCAAGAAGTTTCTCAGAAAGCTTCGGACTAGTTTTCATGTGATGATATTTCCAGTCTCACCATAGGCCTCAAAGGGCTAAGAAATATCCCTTTCCAGGTTCTAAAAGACCACCATTTCCATACTTCTCAATCAAAAGAAACGTTAAATTCTGTGAGGTTAATGCACACATCAGAATGAAGTTTCTCAGAATTCTCCTGTCTAGTTTCTATGTGAAGATATTTACTATTTCACTATAGGCTTCAAAGGTCTCAAAAATATCCCTTTGCAGATTCTACAAAAATATGGTTTCCACAGTGCTGAATTAAAAGAAACCTTCAAATCTGTCAGATGAATAGAGACATCACAAAGAAGTTCCTCGGAATGCTTCTGTCTAGTTTAAATGTGAAGATATTTCTCTTTCACCACAGACCTCAAATGGCTCAGAAATATGCCTTTGCAGATTGCAGAAATAGACTGTCTCTAAACTGCTCAAATAAAATAAAGTTTCAACACTGTGAGATGAATGCACACATCACAAAGAAGTTTCTCAGAAAGCTTCTGTCTGGTTTTTATGTGAAGATATTTCCTTTTTCACCATAGGCCTTACACCGCTCACAAGTATCCTTCTGCAGATACTATAAAAAGACGGTTTCCAAACTGCTCCATCAAAAGAAAATTTCACCTATCTGAGATGAATGCACACATCATAAAGAAGTTCCTCAGAATTCTTCTGTCTAGTTTTTATGTGAAGGTGTTTCCATTTTCACCTTAGGCCACAAAGCGCCCCAAACATCCATTTGCAGATGATACGAAAAGACTGTTTCCAAACTGCTCAATCAAAAGAAATTTTCAACTCTGTGAGATGAAAGCACACATCACAAAAAAGTTTCTCAGAAATCTTCTGTCTCGCTTTTATCTCAAGATAATTCCTATTTTGCCATAAGAATCAAGGGGCTCACATATACCCCTTTGCAGATGCTACAAAAGTTCTCCTTACAAACTTCTCAATCAAAAGAAACGTTCAACATTGTGAGATGAATGAACACATCCCAAACACGTTTCTCAGGTTGCTTCTGTCTGGTTGCTATGTGAAGATGTTTCCTTTTTCACCATAGTCTTTAAGCCACTCAAAAATATCTGTCTGCAGACTCTACCAAAAGACTGTTTCCAAACTGGCCCACATAGCATGTTTCAACTATGTGAAATGAATGCACTCATCAAAAAGAAGTTTCTCAGGATTCTCCTGTCTAGTTTTTATGTGAAGATATTTCCTTTTTCACCATAGGCCACAAATTGCTCCAAATATCCATTTGCAGATTCTACAAAAAGAATGTTCCCAAACTGGTCAATCAAAAGAAAGGCGCAACTCTGTGAGACGAAAGCACACATCACAAAGAAGTTTCTCGGAAAGCCTCTGTCTACATTTTATGTGAAGGTATTTCCTTTGGCACCATAGGCCTTAAACCGCTCGCAAATATAACTCCACTTATACTACCAAGAGACTTTCTCCAAATTGCTAAATCAAAAGAAAGGTTCAACTCTGTGAGATGAATACACACATCAAAAGAAGTTTCTCAAAATGCTTCTGTCTAGTTTTCATGGGAAGATATTTATTTTTCACCATTGGCCCCAAACCGCTCAGAAATATCCCTTTGCAGTTTGTAGAAAAAGACTGCTTCCAAGCTGCTGAATGAAAGGAAATGGTCAACTATTAGAGATGAATGGAAATGTCGCAAAGAGTTTTCTCGAAAAGCTACTGTGTCGTTTTTATGTGAAGACATTGCCTTTTGCACCCTAGGCCTTAAAACTCCCTAAATACACATTCACAGATTCTACAAAAAGACTGATTCCAAACTGCTCAATCAGAATAAGGGTTCAATTCCGTGTGACAAACTTGCACATCACAAAGAAATTTGTCAGAAAGCTTCTGTCTACTTTTTATGTGAAGATATTTCATATTTCAACAAAGGCCTTAAAGGGCTCACAAATATCCCTTCGCAGATTCTAAGAAAAGACGTTTTCCAAACTCCTCACTCAAAAGAAAGGTTTAACACTGTGAGATGAATGGACACATCACGAAGAAGTTTCTCAGAAAGCTTCTGTCTAGTTTTTATGTGAAGATATTTCTTTTTCACTATAGGACTCAAACGGCTAAGAAATTTCCCTTTGCAGCTTCTACAAAATACTGTTTCCAAACTGCTCAATCGAAAGAAAGGTTGAATTCTGTGACATGAATTTACACAACACAAAGAAGTTTCTCAGAAATCTTCTGTCTAGTTTTTATGTGAAGATACTTTCTTTTTCACCATGGGCCTCAAATAGTTCCAAATATCCATTTGCAGATTCGACAAACAGACTTTCCAAACTGCTCAATCAAAAGAAAGGTTCAACACTGTGAGATGAAAGCACACATCAGAAAGAATTTTCTCAGAAATCTTCTGTCTACTTTTTATGTGAAGATATTTCATATTTCAACAAAGGCCATAAAGGGCTCACAAATATCCCTTCGCAGATTCTAAGAAAAGACGTTTGCCAAACTCCTCAATCAAAAGAAAGGTTTAACTCTGTGAGATGAATGGACACATCATGAAGAAGTTTCTCAGAAAGCTTCCGTCTAGTTCTCATGGGAAGATATTTCTCTTTCACCATAAGCCTCAAACGGATCAGAATTCTCCCTTTGCAGATTGTACGATAAGCCTCTTTCCAATCTGCTCAATCAAAAGAAAGTTTCCACTCGCTGAGGTGAATGCACACATCGCAAGGGAGTTTCTCAGAAAGCTTCTGTTTAGTTTTTACGTGAAGATATTTCGTTGTTCACCACGGGCCTGAAAAGCTCTCCAAATATCCCTTTGCAGATTCTAGAAAAAGAGTGTTTCCAAACTCCTCCATCAAAGGATAGTTTCAATTCTGTGAGATGAAAGCACACATCACAACGAAGTTTCTTAGAAAGCGTCTGTGTAGTTTTTATGTGAAGATACTTCACATTGCATCACAGTACTCAATGGGCTCAGAAATATCCCCTTGCAGATCCCACAAAAGGACTGTTTCAAAACTGCTCAATCCAAAGAAAGTTTCAACTATGTGAGATGAATGCACACGTCACGAAGACGTTCCTCAGAATGCTTCTGTCTAGTTTATATGTGAAGAAAATTCCTATTTCACCATAGGCAATAAAGGGCTCACAAATATTTTTGGCAGATTCTACAAAAATACTATATCCAAACTGTTAAATAAAAAGAAAGTTTCAACTCTGTTAGATTAATGGACACATCAAAAAGTAGTTTCTCAGAAAACTTCTGTTTAGTTTTTACATGAAGATATATCCTTTGTCACCATTGGCCTCAAAGTGCTCCTAATATCCATTTACAGATTTCACAAAAAGAGTGTTTCTAAACTGCTCAATCAAAAGAAAGTTTTAACTCTGTGAGATGAAAGCACACATTTCAAAGAAATTTCTCAGAAAGCTTCGGTCTAGTTTTCATGTGAAGATATTTCCAGTTTCACCATAGGCCTCAAAGGGCTAAGAAATATCCCTTTGCAGATTCTAAAAGAGGACCATTTCCATACTGCTCAATCAAAATAAAGGTTAAATTCTGTGAGGTGAATGCACACATTAGAATGAAGTTTCTCAGAATTCTCCTGTCTAGTTTTCATGTGAAGATATTTACTATTTCACTATAGGCTTCAAATGTCTCAAAAATATCCCTTTGCAGATTCTACAAAAATATGCTTTCCAAAGTGCTGAATTAAAAGAAACCTTCAACTCTGTCAGATGAATGGAGACATCACAAAGAAGTTCCTCAGAATGCTTCTGTCTAGTTTAAATGTGAAGACATTTCTTTTTCACCATAGACCTTAAAGGGCTCAGAGTTAGACCTTTGCAGATTGCAGAGAAAGACTGTCTCTAAACTGCTCAAATAACTTAAAGTTTCAACACGGTGAGATGAATGCACACATCACAAAGAAGTTCCTCAGAAAGCTTCTGTCTGGTTTTTATGTGAAGATATTTCCTTTTTCACCATAGGCCTTACACCGCTCACAAATATCCTTCTGCAGATACTAGAAAAAGACTGTTTCCAAACTGCTCCATCAAAAGAAAATTTCACCCATGTGAGATGAATGCACACATCATAAAGAAGTTCCTCAGAATTCTTCTGTCTAGTTTTTATGTGAAGATGTTTCCATTTTCACCTTAGGCCACAAAGCGCTCCAAACATCCGTTTGCAGATGATACGAAAAGACTGTTTCCAAACTGCTCAATCAAAAGAAATTTTCAACTCTGTGAGATGAAAGCACACATCACAAAAAAGTTTCTCAGAAATCTTCTGTCTCGCTTTTATCTCAAGATGATTCCTATTTTGCCATAGGAATCAAGGGGCTCACATATACCCCTTTGCAGATTCTACAAATGTTCTCCTTACAAACTTCTCAATCAAGAGAAACGTTCAACATTGTGAGATGAATGAACACATCCCAAAGACATTTCTCAGGTTGCTTCTGTCTGGTTGCTATGTGAAGATGTTTCCTTTTTCACCATAGTCTCTAAGCCCCTCAAAAATATCTGTCTGCAGACTCTACCAAAAGACTGTTTCCAAACTGGCCCATATAGCATGTTTCAACTATGTGAAATGAATGCACTCATCAAAAAGAAGTTTCTCAGGATTCTCCTGTCTAGTTTTCATGTGAAGATATTTCCTTTTTCACCGTAGGCCACAAATTGCTCCAAATATCCATTTGCAGATTCTACAAAAAGAATGTTCCCAAACTGGTCAATCAAAAGAAAGGCGCAACTCTGTGAGACGAAAGCACACATCACAAAGAAGTTTCTCGGAAAGCCTCTGTCTGCATTTTATGTGAAGGTATTTCCTTTGGCACCATAGGCCTTAAACCGCTCGCAAATATAACTCCACTTATACTACCAAGAGACTTTCTCCAAATTGCTAAATCTAAAGAAAGGTTCAACTCTGTGAGATGAATACACACATCAAAAAGAAGTTTCTCAAAATGCTTCTGTCTAGTTTTCATGGGAAGATATTTATTTTTCACCGTTGGCCCCAAACCGCTCAGAAATATCCCTTTGCAGTTTGTAGAAAAAGACTGCTTCCAAACTGCTCAATGAAAGGAAATGGCCAACTATTAGAGATGAATGGAAATGTCACAAAGAGTTTCCTCAAAAAGCTACTGTGTCGTTTTTATGTGAAGACATTGCCTTTTGCACCCTAGGCCTTAAAACTCTCTAAATACACATTCACAGATTCTACAAAAAGACTGAATCCAAACTGCTCAATCAGAAGAAGGGTTCAATTCCGTGTGACAAACGTGCACATCACCAAGAAATTTGTCAGAAAGCTTCTGTCTACTTTTTATGTGAAGATATTTCATATTGCAACAAAGGCCATAAAGGGCTCACAAATATCCCTTCGCAGATTCTAAGAAAAGACGTTTTCCAAACTCCTCAATCAAAAGAAAGGTTTAACTCTGTGAGATGAATGGACACATCACGAAGAAGTTTCTCAGAAAGCTTCTGTCTAGTTTTTCTGTGAAGATATTTCTTTTTCACCATAGGCCTCAAGCAGCTAAGAAATTTCCCTCTGCAGCTTCTACCAAAGACTGTTTCCAAAATGCTCAACTGAAAGAAAGGTTGAATTCTGTGACATGAATTCACACATCACAAAGAGGTTTTTCAGAAATCTTCTGTCTGGTTTTTAGGTGAAGATACTTCCTTTTTCACCACGGGCCTCAAATATCTCCAAATATCCATTTGCAGATTCTACAGAAAGACTTTGCAAACTGCTCAATGAAAAGAAAGGTTCAACACTGTGAGATGAAGGCACACATCACCAAGAAGTTTCTCAGAAACCTTCTGTCTAGTTTTTAGGTGAAGATACTTCGTATTTCACCACAGGCCTTAAAGGGCTCACAAATATCCCTCTGCAGGTTCTACAAAAAGACTGTTTCCAAACTGATCAATCAAAGGAGAGGTTCAACTCTGTGACGTGAATGGACACATCACAAACAATTTCTTGGAATGCTTCCGTCTAGTTCTTATGGGAAGATATTTCTCTTTCACCAGAAGCCTCAAACGGATCAGAATTCTCCCTTTGCAGATTGTACAATAAGCCTCTTTCCAATCTGCTCAATCAAAAGAAAGTTTCCACTCGGTGAGGTGAATGCACACACTTCGCAAGGGAGTTTCTCAGGAAGCTTCTGTTTAGTTTTTACGTGAAGATATTTCGTTTTTCACCACGGACCTCAAAAGCTCTCCAAATATCCATTTGCAGACTCTAGAAAAAGAGTGTTTCCAAACTCCTCAATCAAAGGATAGTTTCAATTCTGTGAGACGAAAGCACACATCACAACGAAGTTTCTTAGAAAGCGTCTGTCTAGTTTTTATGTGAAGATACTTCACATTGCATCACAGTACTCAATGGGCTCAGAAATATCCCCTTGCAGATCCTACAGAAGGACTGTTTCAAAACTGCTCAATCCAAAGAAAGCTTCAACTATGTGAGACGAATGCACACGTCACGACGACCTTCCTCAGAATGCTTCTGTCTAGTTTATATGTGAAGAAGATTCCTATTCCACCATAGGCAATAAAGGGCTCACAAATATGTTTTGCAGATTCTACAAAAAGACTGTACCCAAACTGCTCAATAAAAAGAAAGTTTTAACTCTGTTAGGTTAATGGACACATCAAAAAGTAGTTTCTCAGAAAACTTCTGTGTACTTTTTATGTGAAGATACTTCCTTTGTCACCATTGGCCTCAAAGCACTCCTAATATCCATTTACAGATGTCACAGAAAGAGTGTTTCCAAACTGCTCAATCAAAAGAAAGTGTTTAACTCTGTGAGGTGAAAGCACACATCTCAAAGAAGTTTGTCCGAAAGCTTCGGTCTAGTTTTCATGTGATGATATTTCCAGTCTCACCATAGGCCTCAAAGGGCTAAGAAATATCCCTTTCCAGATTCTAAAAGACCACCATTTCCATACTTCTCAATCAAAAGAAAGGTTAAATTCTGTGAGGTTAATGCACACATCAGAATGAAGTTTCTCAGAACTCTCCTGTCTAGTTTTCATGTGAAGATATTTACTATTTCACTATAGGCTTCAAATGTCTCAAAAATATCCCTTTGCAGATTCTACAAAAATATGCCTTCCAAAGTGCTGAATTAAAAGAAACCTTCAACTCTGTCAGATGAATGGAGACATCACAAAGAAGTTCCTCAGAATGCTTCTGTCTAGTTTAAATGTGAAGATATTTCTTTTTCACCATAGACCTCAAAGGGCTCAGAATTAGACCTTTGCAGATTGCAGAGAAAGACTGTCTCTAAACTGCTCAAATAAAATAAAGTTTCAACACGGTGAGATGAATGCACACATCACAAAGAAGTTCCTCAGAAAGCTTTCTGTCTGGTTTTAATATGAAGATATTTCCTTTTTCACCATAGGCCTTACACCGCTCACGAATATCCTTCTGCAGATACTATAAAAAGACTGTTTCCAAACTGCTCCATCAAAAGAAAATTTCACCTATCTGAGATGAATGCACACATCATACAGAAGTTCCTCAGAATTCTTCTGTCTAGTTTTTATGTGAAGATGTTTCCATTTTCACCTTAGGCCACAAAGCGCTCCAAACATCCGTTTGCAGATGATACGAAAGGACTGTTTCCAAACTGCTCAATCAAAAGAAATTTTCAACTCTGTGAGATGAGAGCACACATCACAAAAAAGTTTCTCAGAAATCTTCTGTCTCGCTTTTATCTCAAGATAATTCCTATTTTGCCATAGGAATCAAGGGGCTCACACATATCCCTTTGCGGATTCTACAAAAGTTCTCTTTACAAACTTCTCAATCAAAAGAAACGTTCAACATTGTGAGATGAATGAACACATCCCAAAGAAGTTTCTCAGGTTGCTTCTGTCTGGTTGCTATGTGAAGATGTTTCCTTTTTCACCGTGGTCTTTAAGCCACTCAAACATACCTGTCTGCAGACTCTACAAAAAGACTGTTTCCAAACTGGCCCATATAGCATGTTTCAACTATGTGAAATGAATGCACTCATCAAAAAGAAGTTTCTCAGGATTCTCCTGTCTAGTTTTTATGTGAAGATATTTCCTTTTTCCCCGTAGGCCACAAATTGCTCCAAATATCCATTTGCAGATTCTACAAAAAGAATGTTCCCAAACTGGTCAATCAACAGAAAGGCGCAACTGTGTGAGACGAAAGCACACATCACAAAGAAGTTTCTCGGAAAGCCTCTGTCTGCATTTTATGTGAAGGTATTTCCTTTGGCACCGTAGGACTTAAACCGCTCGCAAATATAACTCCACTTATACTACCAAGAGACTTTCTCCAAATTGCTAAATCTAAAGAAAGGTTCAACTCTGTGAGATGAATACACACATCAAAAAGAAGTTTCTCAAAATGCTTCTGTCTAGTTTTCATGGGAAGATATTTATTTTTCACCGTTGGCCCCAAACCGCTCAGAAATATCCCTTTGCAGTTTGTAGAAAAAGACTGCTTCCAAACTGCTCAATGAAAGGAAACGGCCAACTATTAGAGATGAATGGAAATGTCACTAAGAGTTTTCTCAAAAAGCTACTGTGTCGTTTTTATGTGAAGACATTGCCTTTGGCACCCTAGGCCTTAAAACTCTCTCAATACACATTCACAGATTCTACAAAAAGACTGATTCCAAACTGCTCAATCAGAAGAAGGGTTCAATTCCGTGTGACAAACGTGCACATCACCAAGGAAATTTGTCAGAAAGCTTCTGTCTACTTTTTATGTGAAGATATTTCATATTTCAACAAAGGCCATAAAGGGCTCACAAATATCCCTTCGCAGATTCTAAGAAAAGACGTTTTCCAAACTCCTCAACCAAAAGAAAGGTTTAACTCTGTGAGATGAATGGACACATCACGAAGAAGTTTCTCAGAAAGCTTCTGTCTACTTTTTATGTGAGGCTATTTCTTGTTCACCATAGGCCTCAAGCAGCTAAGAAATTTCCCTCTGCAGCTTCCACAAAAGACTGGTTCCAAACTGCTCAACTGAAAGGAAGGTTGAATTCTGTGACATGAATTCACACATCACAAAGAGGTTTTTCAGAAATCTCCTGTCTGGTTTTTAGGTGAAGATACTTCCTTTTTCACCACGGGCCTCAAATATCTCCAAATATCCATTTGCAGATTCTACAGAAAGACTTTCCAAACTGCTCCATCAAAAGAAAGGTTCAACACTGTGAGATGAAGGCACACATCACCAAGAAGTTTCTCAGAAACCTTCTGTCTAGTTTTTAGGTGAAGATACTTCGTATTTCACCACAGGCCATAAAGGGCTCACAAATATCCCTCTGCAGGTTCTACAAAAAGACTGTTCCCAAACTGCCCAATAGAAGGAGAGGTTCAACTCTGTGACGTAAACGGACACATCACAAAAAATTTCTTGGAATCCTTCCGTCTAGTTTTGATGGGAAGATATTTCTCTTTCACCATAAGCCTCAAACGGATCAGAATTCTCCCTTTGCAGGTTGTACGATAAGCCTCTTTCCAATCTGCTCAATCAAAAGAAAGTTTCCACTCGGTGAGGTGAATGCACACATCGCAAGGGAGTTTCTCAGAAAGCTTCTGTTTAGTTTTTACGTGAAGATATTTCGTTTTTCACCACGGGCCTCAAAAGCTCTCCAAATATCCATTTGCAGATTCTAGAAAAAGAGTGTTTCCAAACTCCTCAATCAAAGGATAGCTTCAATTCTGTGCGATGAAAGCACACATCACAACGAAGTTTCTTAGAAAGCGTCTGTCTAGTTTTTATGTGAAGATACTTCACATTGCATCACAGTACTCAATGGGCTCAGAAATATCCCCTTGCAGATCCTACAAAAGGACTGTTTCAAAACTGCTCAATCCAAAGAAAGTTTCAACTATGTGAGACGAATGCACACGTCACGAAGACGTTCCTCAGAAAGCTTCTGTCTAGTTTACATGTGAAGAAGATTCCTATTTCACCATAGGCAATAAAGGGCTCACAAATGTTTTTTGCAGATTCTCCGAAAACACTGTATCCAAACTGCTCAATAAAAAGAAAGTTTTAACTCTGTTCGATTAGTGGACACATCAAAAAGTAGTTTCTCAGAAAACTTCTGTGTAGTTTTTATGTGAAGATACTTCCTTTGTCACCATTGGCCTCAAAGCACTCCTAATATCCATTTACAGATGTCACAGAAAGAGTGTTTCCAAACTGCTCCATCAAAAGAAAGTGTTTAACTCTGTGAGGTGAAAGCACACATCTCAAAGAAGTTTCTCCGAAAGCTTTCGGTCTACTTTTCATGTGAAGATATTTCCAGTTTCACCGTAGGCCTCAAAGGGCTAAGAAATATCCCTTTCCAGATTCTAAAAGACGACCGTTTCCATACTTCTCAATCAAAAGGAAGGTTAAATTCTCTGAGGTTAATGCCCACGTCAGAATGAAGTTTCTCAGAATTCTCCTGTCTAGTTTTCATGGGAAGATATTTACTATTTCACTATAGGCTTCAAAAGTCTAAAAAATATCCCTTTGCAGATTCTACAAAAATATGCCTTCCAAAGTGCTGAATTAGAAGAAAGCTTCAACTCTGTCAGATGAATGGAGGCATCACAACGAAGTTCCTCAGAATGCTTCTGTCTAGTTTAAATGTGAAGACATTTCTTTTTCACCATAGACCTCAAAGGGCTCAGAGTTAGACCTTTGCAGATTGCAGAGAAACACTGTCTCTAAACTGCTCAAATAAAATAAAGTTTCAACACGGTGAGATGAACGCACACATCACAAAGAAGTTCCTCAGAAGGCTTCTGTCTGGTTTTTATGTGAAGATATTTCCTTTTTCACCATAGGCCTTACACCGCTCACAAATATCCTTCTGCAGATACTAGAAAAAGACTGTTTCCAAACTGCTCCATCAAAAGAAAATTTCACCCATCTGAGATGAATGCACACATCATAAAGAGGTTCCTCAGAATTCTTCTGTCTAGTTTTTATGTGAAGATGTTTCCATTTTCACCTTAGGCCACAAAGCGCTCCAAACATCCGTTTGCAGATGATACGAAAAGACTGTTTCCAAACTACTCAATCAAAAGAAATTTTCAACTCTGTGAGATGAAAGCACACATCACAAAAAAGTTTCTCAGAAATCTTCTGTCTCGCTTTTATCTCAAGATAATTCCTATTTTGCCATAGGAATCAAGGGACTCACACATATCTCTTTGCGGATTCTACAAAAGTTCTCTTTACAAACTTCTCAATCAAAAGAAACGTTCAACATTGTGAGATGAATGAACACATCCCAAAGAAGTTTCTCAGGTTGCTTCTGTCTGGTTGCTATGTGAAGATGTTTCCTTTTTCACCATAGTCTTTAAGCCACTCAAAAATATCTGTCTGCAGACTCTACCAAAAGACTGTTTCCAAACTGGCCCCTATGGCATGTTTCAACTATGTGAAATGAATGCACTCATCAAAAAGAAGTTTCTCAGGAGTCTGCCTGTCTAGTTTTTCTGTGAAGATATTTCCTTTTTCACCGTAGGCCACAAATTGCTCCAAATATCCATTTGCAGATTCTACAAAAAGAATGTTCCCAAACTGGTCAATCAAAAGAAAGGCACAACTCTGTGAGACGAAAGCACACATCACAAAGAAGTTTCTCGGAAAGCCTCTGTCTGCATTTTATGTGAAGGTATTTCCTTTGGCACCATAGGCCTTAAACCGCTCGCAAATATAACTCCACTTATACTACCAAGAGACTTTCTCCAAATTGCTAAATCTAAAGAAAGGTTCAAATCTGTGAGATGAATACACACATCAAAAAGAAGTTTCTCAAAATGCTTCTGTCTAGTTTTCATGGGAAGATATTTATTTTTCACCGTTGGCCCCAAACCGCTCAGAAATATCCCTTTGCAGGTTGTAGAAAAAGACTGCTTCCAAACTGCTCAATGAAAGGAAACGGCCAACTATTAGAGATGAATGGAAATGTCACAAAGAGTTTTCTCAAAATGCTACTGTGTCGTTTTTATGTGAAGACATTGCCTCTTGCACCCTAGGCCTTAAAACTCTCTAAATACACATTCACAGATTCTACAAAAAGACTGATTCCAAACTGCTCAATCAGAAGAAGGGTTCAATTCCGTGTGACAAACGTGCACATCACCAAGAAATTTGTCAGAAAGCTTCTGTCTACTTTTTACGTGAAGATATTTCATATTTCAACAAAGGCCATAAAGGGCTCACAAATATCCCTTTGCAGATTCTAAGAAAAGACCTTTTCCAAACTCCTCAATCAAAAGAAAGGTTTCACTCTGTGCGATGAATGGACACATCACAAAGAAGTTTCTCAGAAAGCTTCTGTCTAGTTTTTCTGTGAAGATATTTCTTTTTCACCATAGGCCTGAAGCAGCTAAGAAATTTCCCTCTGCATCTTCTACCAAAGACTGTTTCCAAACTGCTCAAGTGAAAGAAAGGTTGAATTCTGTGACATGAATTCACACATAACAAAGAGGTTTTTCAGAAATCTTTCTGTCTGGTTTTTAGGTGAAGATACTTCCTTTTTCACCACGGGCCTCAAATATCTCCAAATATCCATTTACAGATTCTACAGAAAGACTTTGCAAACTGCTCAATCAAAAGAAAGGTTCAACACTGTGAGATGAAGGCACACATCACCAAGAAGTTTCTCAGAAACCTTCTGTCTAGTTTTTAGGTGAAGATACTTCGTATTTCACTACAGGCCATAAAGGGCTCACAAATATCCCTCTGCAGGTTCTACAAAAAGACTGTTTCCAAACTGCCCAATCAAAGGAGAGGTTCAACTCTGTGACGTAAATGGACACATCACAAAAAATTTCTTGGAATGCT